>NC_000011.10:38090303-38241818 GCF_000001405.40 Homo sapiens
TGCAAAATTCGTTTCTTTGTACTCTTTCTCTTTATTTCTCAGACCAGCCGACACTTAGGGAAAATAGAAAGAACCTACGTTGAAATATTTGGGGCTGGTTCCCCCGATAGCCTGTGGCTGAGAAAAGAGAATCACTTGAGCCCAGAAGTTCGAGGTGAGGTTAGAGTGAGCTATGACCACACCTCTACACTCCAGCCTGGGTAACAGAACAAGACACTCTTTCTAAACAACAACAACAACAACAACAACAACAACAACAACAACAACAACAAAAACAAAGACTTACATTTTTGAATCATGTTGTAGAAGTCAGTTTAGTTCTCATAGCTGGACCTGCCATTGACCTTATCTTCTCTACTTAATATTAGCCCCTACACCAAAACATATTTTTCTGGAAATGTATTCTTTCTTTTTCTTGCCTTTGAAAATGTTTTAAATATACCTATTTTAGTCTATTTTATATGTCTTATTTTGTTAAATATTTAATGCCATGAAACCTATTTCTATTATTATTATTATTTGAGACAAAGTCTCACTCTGTTGCCCAGGCTGGAGTACAGTGGCGTGATCTCAGCTAACTGCAGTCTCCACCTCCCAGGTTCAGGCGATTCTCCTGCCTCAGCCTTCCAAGCAGCTGGGACTACAGGAAAGCACTACCATGTCTGGCTGATTTTTGTATTTATAGTAGAGCCGGGCTTTCACCATGTTGGCCAGGGTAGTCTGGAACTCTTGACCTCAGGTGATCACCCCCGCCTCTGTCTCTCAAAGTGCTAGAATTACAGGTGTGAGCTACCACACCTGGCCCTATTTCTATTTTTTAATTTAAATGTAAACATAGAAATGCATTGATAAATATTATTAAATAACATACAAATTTGAGAAAAAATTACCTATTGTCTCATTGTCCAAATACAGGCACCATTAAATATATAGCATTTTTCCTATATGTTTGATTTTTTCCTTGTGAATTATATTATTTTCATCAACATAATCATAAACAAATAATTTTTTTAAATTTTTGTCTTACATTTACTTTTATGTCATAAACATATTTTGTGTTGTAATACTAAAAATATTGTTCCTAATGGTTGTTTTGTAACATTTAAAGATTATTTTAAATGTCAATATTGAACTTCTAGTAACTTTTTAACTGGTCCTTGTGAACAGGTCTCATGGGCAGTAAATTCTCCCCTTTAAATTTAATTCTTCATATTAAGACTTTAAAAAAATGTTATTGTCTAACACTTAATAACTATTCCCCAAATAAAATGTTATAATTAAAGGCAATTCCTACAAAGCCTGATTGTTTTTCCAGTCTTGTCACTAAAGTTTTATATGAATTAAGATTATAAGTAGAAATCAGCAGTTCTGAATCACTGTGCATTGTATGCCATGTGCAATAAGATGGAAAGAGTCCATGCTCTTGAGATATACTGAGACACCAAAGTCCATTTTATTACCTGCTGCTGTCCTGAGATCGTAGGTCCTCAAGTGGAGCTATTTAAATTCAGCTAATTCTATTTCAGCTCCTTACACGCAATGTAACTGAGAAGCATCACTTAGTGTGTTGTAAAACTTCCAATTTTCGGAACTATCAAATGAACAGAAATAGCACTTCTTTCATAACTGTTGTAAGAATGGATGCAAAATGTCAAATAGCTGTTAATTATTAGCAAGCCTTTACCTACACCATGACAATTCTTTTTCCCTTATTATTGTATAATTATTATTAAAATAACATTTTATATCCAGAAGGTGAAGCCAAACATTAGGTTGGACCACTGGACAGAATCAATATTTTAGCTATTATTTTCTGCGATAAACAATCCTAGTTGAATATTTCCAGTGAAAAGTGTTTCACATGATTAAATATAAGATGCTTTTCAAAATATTTAAAATCTATAATTAATTACATAACTAATGTATATTAGTTTTCTATTTAAATACATATCTTAATATAAAACTAATCTATATAAGTTTTATATTTAAAATAAAGAAAATTAGCTGGGTGTGGTGGCTCACGCCTGTAAGCACAGAACTTTGGGAGGCCAAGGTGGGCAGATCGCTTGAGCTTAGTAGCTTGAGAGCAGCCTGGGAAACATGGCAAAAATCATGTCTCTACAAAAAATAAAAAATTAGTCAGGCATGGTGGAGGTGGAGGCTGCAGTGAGCCATGGTTGTGTCACTGCACTCCAGCCTGGGAGAGAGTGAGACACTGTGTCAAAACAAAAAAAAAAGAAAAAAAACAAGAAAACAAAAAAAGAAAATAAATATTTATAAATGAAATTAACATAATATGTATTTCCGCCACTATTAATATTTTATTTCATTTTGCTTCAGTCTATTTTCTATGCATGTGCATAAATGATTATTTTTATTTTACTAAATTAGGAATTATATATAGTGATTTTACTTCTCATAAACTTACAGAAAATTTTTTTTTAACTTTTGAAAAATGCTTTTATTTCTATGAGCTGGCTTAAATACAATCTAACCACCAATGTTAGAGTACTTTGATTGTTTTACACATTTTATTATTACAGGTGGGCATTCTTATATATGAATGTTTATGTATTTCAAAGTTTTCCTTATGGTAAAGTAGAGAAAAATTGTGTTTAAAAAGTTTTTCTGTTGAGACTGGGGACTTATATTGCCACATTGCCCTTCAAAATATTATGTATTTTATACTCCCATTTCCACTATTATAAGAGGAGAATGCCTTTATTTTCATCTAACTTTTGATATCTTTAAAAAGGAGGAAAGATTTTGAATTTTCCAAATGAAAGGAACAGTTTAAGACAATAGCCAATTAAAATGTACAAATCGGTAAAATGGAAAAATATAGATGGGGCATAGAGAAATATGATAATTCAGCAATTTTACCAAAGAGCAAATTATATGTGAAACAGCCATGCTCTCCATGGGGAAAGCTACAGGCAGAAGTTTTACAGAGTGAGTAAATTGACAAATGGCCCAAATTGTTCTCTGAATGCCAGGGAAGTACAGAACTTAGAAGTACTGGATACTATAGAGGATAAGGTTGAGGTAAAGATCAGAAAACGGTGGTGTTACTTGGGAGTTCACATATAGAAAACGTGGCTCTATCTTCGTCCTCTTCAACTTTGCACACCAAATAGCTGGCAGTTATCCCTCAGGCAAGTAATAGAAGAGTTATCTCTAAAAGGACCAAACAGACCAGAGAAAGTACCTTGGTATAAAGACCTTGAAGTGCCCCAGTGAAACGGGGTCTTAAATAGTGATGAAGCTATCTGTTGACGCAGTTCTGACTAGGTAGCTTAGTTCTTAATTTTAAAATGTTAATGAATAAGTAAGAATGAGGACCCACATGGAAAGGTCTGGTATCAGTCAAGTTTGTATCAAAAAACAAGGAACCAAGAAATGGGTAATAGAAGGTTTTTGTTTTGTTTCATTTTATTTTTTAAGTACTGGAATAGGAAAAAGAAAACACTGAGGTAACACATGTGGCAATTGCAAAAAGAGCTACCAATTAGAAGGATGGAGTAAAAAGAGAAGAAAGATGTTGTGATGAGAATCCAGAATTTTGGAGGAAGTACTGTGTAGATGTCTAAGGGGGGCTGTTGCCCAGCACATGTACACTCAAGAGTTCAGAGAAGAGGCTGTATGGAAATGGGACTCAGATCTCCAAGGAAGAAGCACTATCTGGTGGCTGCTTGTTTCTAAGAAAGAGCAGAATAAGAATGGTTCCTACAAGTGAAGAAAAGAAAAGAAAATGGAAACCAGGACCAGCTGGTGTAGCCACCGTGATGAGACAGTGCCAGGATGGGGCTGAAAGGAATAGCCAAGTCTGCCTTAGACTTCTAGTCTCCCTCTAATACCCCATGATGATGGGGCAAAGGAAAAATCAGAGTCCAATCAGAGAAAAAGGAAGTTTCACAGCTGGAAGAAACCAGCCTAATAACTGTTAGAAGATCTAACATAACAGAAAGCAAAGTAAGTCAACAGGAGAAACAAAAAGGAAAACAGAAGAAACTAAAACAAAACAAGGAAAAAAAAGTTTAAAAATTTTTATTTAAATCCACACAGCAAAGGAGAAGATACTATATATACATAAGCAAGAATATATTATTAAAAATAGTATATGTAGGCAGAAGAATGGCGTGAACCCAGGAGGCAGAGCTTGCAGTGAGCCAAGATGGTACCACTGCACTCCAGCCTGGGCGACAGAGCGAGACTCTGTCTCAAAAAAAAAACAAAACAAAAAACAAAAAACTATATGTAATATTAGCTTGTATAAAATAATCAGAAAACAAGACAAATATCTCAGAAGCTTCAACATCTTGTATCTATCCCCCAAATGCTGTAAATTACTATATGATTAACTCAAAAACTTTTCCAGGAAGAATAATGAACCAAGAAAAAGGAAAGGGAGAGAAAGCAAACAAACCAAAATTGAGAGACCTAGAGAAAAAATTCAAGTCCAGAATTAAATTGATAGAGTTTATGTAAGAGGCAATGTATCAGTTTGGGTGAATCAAATAAACAAGAGAAAATAACAAAATAATCCATTACTCTTGGGTTTTTGAAAGATGACTAATTTCTTCCCCTCTTCTGTTTATAGGCCCCTCTACCTCCAGTGTTATTTACAGTTTTATTTCTATATATAAATCTTATTAATTTTTCTAACAGATATCTCTTTATATTCTTTCATACTGGTATATCTTATTTTATCAATTAATTTGTATATTTTTATTCCCACTATTTTATATGATATAATGTAAATCATGTTCACTTTTTTCTTAGGTATTTCTTAAAAACTTCTTATTTGTTATATACGTTACCTTGCATTCAGAGTTTGGGAACACTTCTCCCACCATGTCACTGTTTTTCCCTTGATTTTTATCCTGGCTTGACTTCTGTCTTGATGTGACCTTGGAGAAAACCACTAACTCTCCAAGTTTCAAATTTCCCATCTGCAGGATTCAAAAGTGGAACTAGATCTTTACTGTTCCTTTAACCTCTAACAGTCAGATTTCTTTTGCTAGTGGATCCTGTAGGTCACATTCTCTACGGAGTGCAAAAATATATCCTGAAAGTTAATACAACACAGAATCAGAAATACCTAGTCAAAGGAAAGTGAATTATTCATAAAGTTTTACTCTGCTGAACAGACAGATATGTCACTCCCAAATGAATGATGCCTTGTGACAGATTATTATTAGCTTTAGCTCCTGTGGAAGGAGAGAAGTATATTCATTGTCTAAAACACATGTAACCAAACTGAGAAAAAAAGACTATATGGAAATTTATATGTATATGCATACATAATTTAAGAAAACATTTTTAACAGGTAATTTGATCATGTTTAACAAAAGACGTTATTATTCCGCTCACCAAAATAAAAATGCTAATCACTCCTCTGTATATCTATCTCTAATTTAAATGTTTGAACACCAAATAGTTTAGGTGGGGAATTGTTTTACTCTCTTACTTTGAAGCATATTTTCAATTAATGTTATTATAAATGAATTAATTTTCTCTTTTACATTTGACAATAGATGAGTTTTCCACCACTAAATATGATTTTATTTTTAAACTAACTTACCATTGAAAATGTATCTCTAATTTTCTCGAAAGTATTTGGAATGGAAAGATAGGAATGGAAGGGAGGGGAGAAGGAGTGGGAGGCACAGACAAAGAGAGAAAAGAAAGAAAAAAGGAGAGAAAGAGAGAGAGAGAAGAGACCTACATGAAGAGACCAGGATCTAAACAATTGGTTGTTAGGAGTCTCAGTGTTTAAAGACAAAAGAAAAAAAAGTGTTTACTGTTTAAATACATTTGATCTTTAAAAATAATTTCACTGGTCTTTAAAATGCAAATTTTGCTGGCTTTTTAGATTGTCTTCATTGAACAGAGGGATAAAGGGTAACAGATATGGGAAGATGATGATCAAAAAAGAAAGCAGTTTGCCCATTGCATTTCACATATAAATTGGTAGAGGAAAAGGCAGTATGGAGTTGAAGAACAGGATTCAGATCAAACTAGAGATATCAGTCAAGCAAATTTTCTTGCTAAATAGGAAATGCTCCATTCTTTATCTATACTTTGCTTTACAGCTATCAAGTCTTTGCACTTTGCCCAATCTAAAAGGAATATCTAATTAGTGCATAGGGAGATATCTCGCCTCCCAATGTGTTCTGCTCTAACTGAAACTTTATTGCTTACAATTTATGAAAAATATTAAGCAAATAGAAGAAAACATGTTTTCTAATTGGTTATAAAAAGTGCTTAATGTGGAACTAAGAATTTTTCTCCAGAATCTGACATTACATCTTACAATGCAAAGTCACATTTGAAGTTGACTTAGTTACTTGTCTTATTAAAAATTTAAAACTATATTTCAAGGTCACTGTGAACACAGTGGCTATTAGGTAAAATAAATAAAAATGCATTTGATTTTTCTATATGAGTTAGTAAAACTTTTCAGTCTCTATAATTTCAACAACTAATTTTATATGACATGAATGCAGAATATTGGTACTATTAAAATATTTGGCTGGGTGTACTAGTCTGCTCTGATGCTGCTATGAAGAAATACCTGAGACTGGATAATTTATAAAGAAAAGAGAATCAGTTGAGTCACGGTTCCATATGGCAGAGGAGGCCTCAGGAAACTTACAATCATGGTGGAAGAGGAAGCAAATATGTCCTTCTTCACATGACAGCACGAGAGAGAAATCCAGAGCAAAGGGGAGAAGAGCCCCTCATAAAACAGTCAGATGTTGTGGCAACTCACTCATCATCAGGAGAACAGCATGGGGGTTCTGCCCCCATGATCTAATCACCTCCCATGATATCCTTCCCACAATACATGGGGATTAAAATTTGGATTAAAATTCAAATGAGATTTGAGTGGGGACACAGCCAAATCACATCATTCTGCCCCTGGCCCCACCCAAGCCTCATTTTCCTCACATTTCAAAACACAATTATGCCTTCCCAACAGTTCCGCAGTCTTAACTCATTTTAGCATTAACCCAAAAGTCCAAGTCCATAGTCTCATCAGAGACAAGATAAGCCCTTCCTGCCTATAAGCCTGTAAAGTTAAAAGCAAGTTAGTTTCTTCCTAGATACAATGGGGGTACAGTGAAATTGGGTAAATACAGCCACTCCACATAAGAGAAATTGGCTCAGACAAAGGCACAGGCCCCATGCAAGCCTGAAATCCAACAGGGCAGTCAAATCTTAAGCTCTGAAATGATTTCTTTTGACTCCATGTCTCACATACATGTCATGCTGATGCAAGAGGTGGGTTCCCATGGCCTTGGGAAGCTCCGCTCCTGTGGCTTTGCAGGGTGCAATTCTCCTCCTGGTTGTTTTCACAGTCTGGTGTTGAATGTGGTTTTTCCTGGCAAATTGTGTAAGCTGTCGGTGGATCTATCATTCTGGGGCCTTGAAGATGGTGGCCCTCTTCTCACAGCACCTCTAGGCGGTGCCCATTGGGGACTGTGTGATGGGGCTTCAACTCCACATTACCCTTCCTCACTGCTCTAGCAGAAGTTCTCTACAAGGTCTCCGCCCCTGCAGCAAACTTTTTCCTGGACATCCAGAAGTTTCCATACATCCTCTGAAATCTAGGCAGAGGTCCCAAACCTCAATTCTTGATTTGTGTGCACCGGCCGGCCCAGCACCACATGGAAGTGGCCGAGGCTTGGGGCATACACCCTCTAAAGCAATGGCCCTGAGCTGCATGTTGGTTCCTTTTAGCCATGGCTGGGACACAGGGTACCAAGTCATGAGACTGCACAAACAGCAAGGCCCTGGGCCAAGCCCATGAATCAATTTTTCTCTTTTAGGCCTCAGAGCCTGTGATGACAGGGGCTTCCATGAATGCCACTGACAAGTCCTGGAGACATTTTCCTTATTGTTTTGGTGATTAACATTTGGATCCTCGTTACCTATGCAAATTTCTGCAGCTGGCTTGAATTTCTCCTCAGAAAACAGGTTTTTCCTTTCTATCGCATCATCAGGTTGCAAATTTTCCAAGTTTTATTCTCCATCACCTCTTGAACACTTTGCTGCTTAGAAATGTCTTCTGCCAGGTACCCTAAATCAGTTCTCTGAAGTTCAATGTTCCACAAATCTCTAGGGCAGAGGCAAAATGCCACCAGTCCCTTTGCTAAAGCATAGCAAGTGTCACTTTTGCTCCAGGTCTTAATAAGCTCCTCATCTCCATCTCAGTCCACCTCAGCCTGCACTTCATTGTCCATATCACTGTCAGAATTTTGGTGAAAACCAAGAAGTATCTAGGAAGTTCTAAACTTTCCCACATCTTCCTGTCTTCTCCTGAGCCCTCCATACTGTTCCACCCTCTGCCTGTTATCCAGTTCCAAAGTCACTTCCACAATTTTGGTTATCTTTACAGAAGTACCTGACGCCCAATACCAATTTGCTGTATTATTGTGTTCTCCCATTACTATGAAGAAATACCTGAGACTAGGTAATTTATAAAGGAAAGAGGTTTAATTGACTCATGGTTCTGCATGGCTTGGGAGGCCTCAGATAACTTATAATCATGGTGGAAGGGGAAGCAAACACATCCATTTTCACATGACGGCAGGAGAAATAAGTGCAGAAACCATTAGATCTAGAGAAATTTCCCTCATTTTCATGAGAATAGCATTGAGAAACCATTCCCATGATCTAATCACCTCCCACGATGTCCCTCCTCTAACACAGGGGGATTACAATTTGGATTACAATTGAAGATGAGAATTTGGGTGGAGACACAGAGCCAGACCATATCAATGGGCATGGTGGCTCATGTATTCCAGCACTTGGGAAGCCTAGTCAGGAAGAGTCTTTGAGCTTAGGCGTTTGAGAGCAGCCTGGGAAATATGGCAGAACTTCATCTCTACAGAAAAATGCATACATTAGCTGGGCGTGGTGGTGAGCATCTTTAGTCCCAGATTCTTGGGAGGCTGAGGTGAGAGGATTGCTTGAGCCCAGAAGGTTGCGGCTGTAATGAGCTGTGATCATCCTGTCACTGCACTCCAATATATTTATATATATATAAATATATATGTTTATAATGCATACACTATATATATATACTATATATAAATATATAGTCTATTAATATATGTAATCTTTTTTAACAAATCAATATTTATGTATTTATTAAGACTGTTGAGTACCATGACAATTATAAAATAAGTATTAAAATAATATTTTCAAAGGCTATATTCTAACTGGAAAAAAATCTCCACAAGTATTTAGAAGAAAATTTACTGTAAACTAAAGTTGATCAGACAAATTTTTCTGATAGGAAGAATTGTTCTATAAAGCAAAGGAAGTGAAGTGGCTATGCCAGAGGAATGATTGTAAAACAAATATAGGGATAAATTTGGTACAGATAATAGAAAAGAGTGCTATGAAAGACTAGGAAATAAATGTTCCAATATGTAAAGTAGATGTCCCCTTGAAATTTAGTGGAAAAATAATTTAAAGCTTTTCCCACAATTCAGTAAGGTTTCTATAACATACAAACACACACATACACTATATATATATAACAAGAGTAACAATGTACTGAAAAGTACTTCCCTAGCCCTAACCATGTGGACATAAAACAATTGTATAGTAAGCCTCCATATGGTTGCATCTGATGAGAAAGATGCATTGTTAAATAAGGATGTTGCACTGGTGAACTTTTGAAATCATATAATTAAAAAATTATATTATAAAGAGTAATCCAGTAGACCAAGAAATGTACAGATCCTTGAACTACATAAGTAATTGTGGTACCATACAAAATAACACTAGAATAAGATGTATATATAATAAGATATAGCTTTATAAATACATGGTCCCATATTTCTATGTTATCATTAGTCTGAAAAAATACTATATATTGGTATTTAAGAAATTATTTAGAGAGAAATGTTTAATTTTAATTTCAAGTTCTACTTCTGTATTTTTCGTTGTTGTTAAGAAAGGAAGTGGGGACAAGTTAGAAGGATAACTGTGAGTATGAATAAGGAAAGTGATCTAAAGCATGCAAATTTGACTAACATATGCTACTGAATTGTTTGCCAAAATAATATCCATAGAGTTTAAGCACCATTTCTTACAGAATGGAATCAGAGGAGGTTTAAATGAGATTTAAATGTAATAATATACATACAATTCTCAGCCTATTATCCCAAGTGGATAGAAGTTTATATTTTATGTACTAACTTTTGCCTTACTAGATACAACAATCTTATTTCCTGTAAACTAACCCAAACAGTATAAGGTAGGGCTATGTGCATTCATAATGTATGCCTTAAATTATTATTTTCATGTGGAATTTAAATGCCGAGAGCCTAATTTGCATTCTTGCTATCTGAATACCAACACTCTGAATTTGGTGAATACATTAATTTTCTTCAAATGATGTAATTAGTCATAATCTGCACCTCTTTAAATAACTCTTTTGAATATAATGCACCTTTAAATCATTTGTCACATATAGATTTGGGATTCAGGGATGCAGCAAAATTTATGAAATCACACCATATAAACAAGAGAGTCTATAATTTTTTTTTGGAATTTCATCAACTGAGGAAATCAAAGTAAAACTATTAAGTTATTTATACTTTTACCTCTGCTTTTAATAAAGACTCCAAAGAAAGAACCACACTAGAATCTATGATTCAATTTATATATTTTAGATGACACAGGTGATTATCAAAGGATGGGAACAATAAAGACAAATTGAATTAAGGGAAACAGATGGAGCAACTGGTATAGATATGCTGACAGTTAATACTTTTCACAAGCATTAACAGAACCGCAGTTTTGTTTATAAATGTCACCTGAGGGAACAGATTTCAAAATGAAGTAAGAAATGGTAGGGAGAAGACTTTTCCTTTCTGCTAACCTTTCATGTGGCAACAAGAAATGATATTCTAAGGAGCGGCTGATTTATAACGATGGTGAATAGCTGTGCTGCAGCTCATCCACAACTAAAGCATGCATATTCGTAGTTTTGACAGTGACAAATGTTTTTGCAAAGGCTTTAGAAAGACACAAAGAATAGGTGATCTTCTCCATATCTATAAAGGATGGTTTCAGTAACATTACATTTTATTACAGAAACCTGGATTTAGCAACCCAGTAAAGGCAGAGCAGGGGGTGGGGAGACATGGGGACTTATTTATATGTGTATTTTTCCAAAGGAATGCCATTTAGATTTGATTTAATTTTTCTGACATTTTCTTCATCAAATTATAATCAGTAGAAAATTTGGTTGTGTAAAAAGTTCATAATCATCAAGGTAAAATGAGGAAATGAGGCCTACCTTCATTCACAGGGAAAATAAATATGTTTTAGGTGGATAGCTAATTCAAAGCAGGTTGCATTACATTTTTTTTTAATCTCTCACCACAGGGCATTTAAATGATCCAGTGTTTTAATCTTCAAATGCACACGATGGAAAGACAAGCTGTCTTTTTTCTCCAAATATGTTGTTGAAATAAAGCAGCATTGAATGACTATGCTATGGGTAGGATATCAATAGAAAGTTATTTCTACTTTCTAAATAGAACTTAAGAAAAAGCACACTAAGAATCAAATAAAAATTCACTTGTTGAGGACTGGGTAATGACATGATTTTATTCTATGGAAGAGATCAACACCAATATAGAAAGCACTTTTTAAAACTCTGCTCTTCTCCTGGTTACTTTTATACATACTCATAAGAAAATGTCATAGACAAAAAAAATTGTGATTTTTGTCCAATCTGTTCAACCCTGAAATTTCATGCGTGAGTGACAAATGGACTGCATTCAGAGATCTCTGCTTGTTGGAAAAGATAATCCATAGCTCACAGTGTTTCCAGATCAGATAGTATAACCTTATTGGTTGCTAGAGTTAGGATCTAAGAGTATGAATTTGAAAGAGTCTGAATTAAGGCTCTGTTTTATCATGATGTGACTATATTTAGGCACTTTAAGTAGAGATAATATTGGGAATGTGTAAAAGTTTGAACACTAACAGTACACAAATGCCTTCTATATTTCAGGTTCCTATTATGGAAGGTCGAATTGATCTACTACCTGAAATACAATTAGAGGTTTTAGTACTTCCCATATTAAGGCCAGAGTGTTACTTCAAATTATTTTCCTAAACACATCTGGTATCTCATAAATTCCACAGACAGGGAAAATAGAAAAGTTTTAGAAAGTGTAAGCTCAACTGTCATTGATAATAAAATTATTCTCCCCGAAGTTCCTGCTTATAAAGTTGTCTTGGAGAGAGAAAGAAAAATAACAGGGACTATAGCTCACTATATATGACTATTATTCCAATATTTATTGAGTTTCTAAAATGTGCCAGACTTCATAGAAAATAGAGTAGGCTGCACAATCCTCAAAGGAGAGTAGTAGAAAAATGTAAAAGGCTTGAAAATAAGTTTTTGTAAGGTAAGTGCATTGTCTAAAAGTGAGAAAAAAGAAAATTAAAATTTAATAATCATCTAAATTACTAAGCATATAGCTCTACCTTAGATATATGTTGTTTAGCACATGTAATTTGATTACTTAAGAGCATGCTTTCAGCCATTCTGCTGTGGTGCATATTTTCTACCGAATGCCTCAGGTATTCTAGCTCTTTCTATACTTTGTGGAAATATGAGTATGTGTTTGCCAGTTTCTGTTCCCAATAGCTTGTGATCGTCTAGCCAAACAAACATAAAATGGATTTATTGATTGAAATCTCTAAAGGAATATAGGAGGCAATATGGTTAACCTTATCTGAGGCAATCAAAGGGGCATATTACAGAAGATGAGATCAGAAAGAACTCATCTTTGAAAAGGTGTTTACCAGTAAGAATGACTATGGAAACAGAGGGCACATAACAGAGGCAAAGTGGGTTTCAACAGATACACATAATTCAATACTCTGGAGGAAAAACGTGCTAAAAAGAGGAAATGAATCCTTACACAATTTCAGGGATATTATAGACTAATGAATATATTCATTATTGGCCTATGATAGCCTAAATAGTTTCACTCCCAAAATACAATATACTTCACAATACTATGTAAACAAAAATTTTGTAGATGGATAGATATGTGAACAGATAAATGGAAGGATGAATGAAGGGATACATGAATAATTTCATTAAAAAATAAACTGAATGGAAGGTGAGTTTTATCAGCTATATGATAATCAGTCATTAAGAGTTTAAAGAAGCAAATTAATGGACATCTATGCAAATTTGGGAACGTTCACTCTGCTTACCTGTGAGTTAGAAAAATAAAAGAACAGAAAGAAAATAAAACCTGAGCCAAGAATACCAAAATTAAAGCCATAGAAATAAATTCAGGTTAGAGAAGACAGATGTCTGAACATAAGGAGTGATATATGTAGGAAAAATAAATGTTTATAGAAACTTTAGGAGGTAGAATGCATTGGAATTGGGGACAAAATTAAACTGAAGAATGAGGTAAAATAAGGAAAATTCTGACTAATCAATATCTGGTCTGAAAATCGGGAAGGAAATAGTGGTACCATCTGCAAATGTTAAAAATAAAAACAAGTGTGTTTGGGAAGATAACAAAATATAAGCACTTTGTATTATCTCATTTAACCTTGATAACAATCCTATGTCTCTTTCATACATGAGAAGTCGAGTGTTCCCAAAGTCCAAATCTAGGCAGTGATAGAAGAATGAGTTGAAGCCTGTTTAATCAAGTTCTAGGTCAATATTGTTTTCCTAATGTCACTTATAATGTATATAAAATAGTTAATGATTCTCCACTATAATTTAGATTATACAATGTTGTTTGTAACTTCATGTTTATTGTGAAAATGTCTCATAAATGTCAAAAAGTGTGTAAAATCTGTGAGTACAGTTTTATAATCTATTATATAGTAAACATTCAGATAATAATAAGCCAGGTTTGCAATTTTGCTAATACCTTAGAAACCCACTGTCTACTCCTTCCGAAGTATGTGTCTTAATTCCAAAGCAAGGCAACCGCTGTCATAGCTTTTGTAAAAATAGTATTTCTAAAATGACATTATTTAATAGTACCAGTTTCTGAGCTCCATACATACAACTCACATCTGATTATTTTACTTAATGCTATATCTATAGAATTCATACATGTTGTTCTGTGAAATCCCATGTTTTGAACATATCTTACAATCTTCTACTGACTGACATTTAGATTACTATGAAGGCTTTGTACATTTCTCATGGCACAAATGTACAAAATATCTCTAAGAGTGCACGCCTAGGAATGAAATCACTGAGTAAGAAGACATGTCCATATTTACCTTTATTAGCTGTTGCCTTAGTGTTTTCCATAGTGGTATACAAATTTACACCTCAAAAAGCCATGGATAAAAGTTCCTGTTGATCTATAATCTCACACTGCTTATTTTACATTTCTGTTAAATTTATTTTTGCTAAACTATTGGCAACACAGCAGTATCTTATGGTGATTTTACTTTGTATATACCTGGTTACTAATATATTAGCACAGCTTTCCATATGTTTATAGACCACTTGGATTTTCTGTTTTGTGAAGAGCTTGTTGGAACGTTTTACTCTTTTATTTTCTATTGAGTTAGTTGTTTTTTTCTTACTGATCCATAGAAGTTATGCATATTTTAATCAGCTAACTATGTGTTTTGAAAATATTCTTTCTAAATGCATGACTTATCTTTTTAAAAATTTTACATGGCATTTAATGGAACAGAATTTCTTAACTTTAATATGATTAAATTTATCGGCCTTTCTCTATTAAAATTATTTCACTTGTAGTATCTTGAGGAGTTTCTTCTCTATTGAAGAACATGAAGATAGTCATATCAGTTTTCAGTTTTTAAGGTTCTCCATTGATATTTTGGTCTTGAATTGAAATGGAATTGTATGATCTGAGAAAAGAATTCAGTTTTCTGTATGAACAGCCATTTTTTTTCCCACAAGGAAAAGCAATTTTCCTAGCAATGTTTATTGAAAATTCAAAATTTTCATCCTGATCTGCAATTCTCTCTTCTTCACATATTGTTTTTATATTTGGATGGTCACTTTCTCTATTTTGCTGGGCATTTTTGTTTTGTTAGCCGATTTGTTCTAATTTCCTTTGTTATTATTGATTTTATAGGCTTGTTCTACCAATTGCTGAAAAAGTATGTAAAAATCTACCATTATCATTTTGTTTTTCTTAGTTTTTCCCCTAGTTTCACTAATCTTTATTGTTAATATTCTGGGGCTATTTATAAGGTACATACAAATCTAAAATTATTATTGTATATATAATTTACATGTATGTACAATATTATTATTGTATTTTAATTTAATCAACAAAGTTGAAGTGACATTAATTATATCTATAATTGCTTCTATGTGTAAGTCTATTTTATTTGGTATTGTCATACTTACATCTATGAATTTTTAATTAAATTTTGCCAAAGTCAAAAGGTTTTTGACTTTTTATTTTATCCTTTATTATATATAATTATGTTGTTAATGAGTACACTGTGAATAGTATCAAGTAAAATTTCATTTATTCTTTTTCTTTAAAAAAGTTATCTGGATATTTTTCTTTTATAAGATCACTTTCCCATATCCAACATAATTACTTATTGTATAACTATCATTTTATATATATCATTTTATTTTGTGCTACTTGGTTCCCTCACGTTTCTTTTATCTTCTTTCTGATCTTCACTTACAAATATTGATTATGTACGTTTTCTTATTCAAAACTCTCTCATTTAAAATTAACAGTTTTACAAAATAAAATTCCTAAGAAGAAGATGAAATGTTTTTGCATCTATGGTGAACTACAATGCTTATTAAAATACAGACAAGAACATTAAAAATTTTCATTTGGCATAAAACTTTAGTCCATTGATTTTCTCTTCTTTCTGCATTAAATATAGACATGTTCATGGCAATTTGGTAGTCATTTGAGACTGTGAGCATACAGGCATAAGGATAAGAGTCATTCTTTAAGAAAGCTTGAAAAAGTCTGTGTTTTTTATGTCATCATAGACCGCTGCATCAGACTTAGGACTACCTACTTACAAATTCTTACTATGCAAGAAAAGAAAACTCCTATTTGGCTCAGCAAAATAAAAAAAAAATGTAGCTGATACTATTTTTAATTGATGTATCACTCAAAGCTTTTACATACTGATTTAATGATATTAAAATCATAATTATTTCATTTTATGTTCCAACATTCTTCCATTTTAATTTTTCTTTTCCAGATGATAAATTATGACAACATCATATGTGGAATCAAGAATTTATAATTAACTGATGTCACCACAAGCCTTGGATAAGCCCTTGTATCTGTGGCAGAGTGTATTATTGTCTAAAGAATTGTAGCCCTTGACTCTTGTTTTTTTTTTTTTCCTAGTAAGCCCTGTACTGTGGTTAGATTAAGAGTGCCACAGTGAAAACGACTTGGTCTTGCGACTTGATTTTGTCAATGCAAAATGAGAAAAAATGGCATATGCTATTTCTTAGAAGAGCCTTAAGAACCATCACATGCATCTGTTAGTGTTCTTTTTGTCTGCAGGACAAAAGCAATATCCTGCATACTCCTTCAGCTAATGTCTTAGAATAAAGAGTCAAAGCCACACATTTGATAAACCTGTAAACTAAGTGAAAAATAAGTTTGTGTTGATGTAAGCCACTAAGATTAGGATGCCATTTGTTGCCACAGCCGAACTTAGTTTTAAGCAGACTGATACAGCTTCTAAATGCTACTCTGTACAAAAATAATAATAATGCCTGCTTTTCTACTTCCCAGATCTGTGATTAGGACTTAATACAATAATTTAAGTACCAATGCATTATAAGCTCTAAAATACTATAAAATGGCAGGCAATCTCTTTATCGGTATATCTTATTTTATATTTTAATCATAGGACATCATCATGCAATTTGAACAACTAATTTAGAGTTTAAAAAGTTATGCAAGCAGACATATTAGACTTCACTAACCTTTTGAGTTATCACATCTGTGCTTACATTACCCATCTGTTAATGCACGTTGTTTACCATTTCCAGTGAGCCCTTAATATATTTATTACAATTATTTTTAATTCCCATTCAGATAATTCCAGCAACTGTGTCATATTTGTATATATTTCTACATCTTGCTTTTCTTTTCAGAAAATGTCTTGTTGTCTTGCCAGTTGGCATGCCTTATAATTTTTTCTTTTTTGAAAGCTGGACACATTGTATCAGGTAGTAGGAATTAAACTAAACAGGCCTTGCATGTGAGATTTATATTAATCTTACTAGAAGTTGAGCTGTATTCAAATGTTTATTGAAGCCATAGGTTCTAGAGGCTTCAAACTCCTTTAGCATTCTTGTTTGTGCTTCCACTATTGACTTTGAGTTTTCCAACACATTCCTCCAGAGAGTCTTGCAGTTCATTTAATTGTAATCCACTGTTGTTATACTGAAGCCCTGTTTGTGTCATGTTAAGGACAAAGGTCAGGAAACATTCTATAACCTCATGCTTATATCTTTGTTTTTAGTGGGCTTTCTCTTGGGATTGTGACTTCCAAACTGTTTCATCAGTGGTATAGCTACTTTTTCCTCCTCCACTGGTGAGACAGAATGGCTACAGAGGGCTGGGGTAGAACCAATGCCCTTTCCTCAGCTGGAATAAAGCTCTGATAAAATCTTTTGCCCTAGAGAGCAGGTCTTTGCTTATGGAGAAAGCTCTGAAAATATTTCACAAACATTAATCTTGCCTTCCCCTAACAGGGCTATAAAGGGATCAATCATGCTTTCATCTTAATCTGGAAAACCTGATAATGTTCCTGGAGATAAAGCCCATGGAAGGGTGGGGACCGGCTAACACTGTGGCCTCAGAATTTTCTCACTGTCAGGCTGGTTCACATTCAACCTCCAGCCATTAATTTAATTACCGCATCAGTATTTCTACCTGTTAATGGCTCCCTCAACTTCTGCTACAGTTTTGCAGATCTTGACTTTAACTCTTTGAATTTATCTACCAAGATTTCATGGTGGGGAGTTTTCCCTGCAACTTTAGTTCTCTAATGGGTCTAAGAAAAGTCATTGGTTTTCAGAGATTTTTGTATTTGTTTTCATCTTAATTTCTTGTATGGATGGGAAAGATGGCTTCTAAATACTTTTCATGTTGTACCTAAAATTGGAAGTCCGTCTCTAACCTTAGAAGTCATAAATTTTTCTCAGATGTTTTCAGTGGCCATTTAGAACCAATAAAAAGGTTTATTGTATTGTATTTTTTGCCTAATTATTAATTAATTACACACGCACACACACACACATGGTTACATTTATGCTTAGAAATAGACTTTTCTATACCATGTACATGTTATGAAACTATAAAACCAAGTTTAAAAAAACATAGCATCCAATTAGCAATCTTCATTATTCAGCTGGGGTTTATTACATATACTCTGTTCTACTTCCTTTCTGTTGAAGTAACTTATCAATAAAGGTAAGTTGAAGGTACTGTGATTGTTTTCAGAAATGTCTCTTCCCCTGACTCTTCTCTCTTTTTTCTTAGCCTACAATTAATTCAGTTCAGCAATAAAACATTGAGTTAATTTGTCACTCCCTTCAGGAATACAGCTTGTTCATGTCCTTGTTTCATTCCAATCTTATTGTCTCCGGGAAAACATCCTACCTTCTAGTAA
The DNA here is from genome assembly GCF_000001405.40 of Homo sapiens. Lineage (NCBI taxonomy): Eukaryota > Metazoa > Chordata > Mammalia > Primates > Hominidae > Homo > Homo sapiens. Next base: position 38,108,991 of record NC_000011.10, read on the forward strand.
ATTAGTAAGAGTGAAATAAATATTCTGCTATTGATTTTTTTAAAAGCAGACAACTTTCACAAATATCTGAAGCATATGTGTAGAGCTTTTTATTTAATGTTGTCATTTTTATTGGAAATTAATATGGCTATATCACTTGGTTTTATGTAATTTCATCACCTTGGACTGTCTTGATAATAATAGGAACTGAAAAATGATACTTAAGATCTCAAATGATATAAAATAGTGTGCATTTCTTTGGCAGAGTTCTGCTTACTATAGAAGTCACTATATGTACATATGTGTATATTTAAAGCTAAATAACTTAAAATTAAAATAAAATTATTAACTCTCAGTCCTACTAGATATACCTCAAGTGTGTGTATATCTGCAGACAAACACACAAACACAAAATGTATAATATTATAATAACATCAAATATTTCATTTATGAATGGAGCATAATACTTTATACCCATAAGACAAAGTATTTTAAATAATATAGAAACTTCTAGCACTTTATACAAGACATTTCAACAAGGCCACCCACACACACACACACACACACACACACACACAAACACACATGCACAAAGATAAGATTCTGTGTAAGTACCTTGTTTCCGATTAATTTTTCTGGCTCAGTATTTAAGAAATTGTGTTAGTCCATTTTCACATTGCTATAAAGAACTACCTGATATGGTTTAGGTTTGTGTTCCCACCCAAATCTCATCTCAAATTGTAATCCCAACATGTCGAGGGAGGTACATAGTGGGAGGTGATTGGATCATCAGGGTGCTTTCTCCCATGCTGTTCTCATGGTAGTGAGGCAGTTCTCACCAGATCTGATGATTTTAAAAGTGGCAGTTTCCCCTGCATTCTCACTCTTTTCTGCTACCATGTAAAATGTGCCTTGCTTCCTCTTCACTTTCCACCATGATTGTAAGTTTCCTGAGGCCTGCCAAGCCACGTGAAACTGTGAGTCAATTAAATTTCTTTTCTTTATAAATTAGTCTCAGGGCAGTGTCTGTACAGCAGTGTCAGAATGGACTAATGCAGACAATTGGTACCAGGAATGCAGCACTACTATAAAGATAACCTGGAGATGTGGAACTTGGTAACACACAGAGATTGGAACAGTTTGGAGGGCTCAGAAGAAGACAGGAAGATGTGGGAAAGTTTGTAACTTCCTACAGACTTGTTTAATGGTTTTGAACAAAATGTTGATAGTGATATGGAAGTTCAGGCTGAGGTGGTCTCAGACAGAGATAAGAAACTTATTGGGAACTGGAGCATAGGTCACTCTTGCTATGCTTTAGCAAAGAGATTGGCAGCATTTTGCCTCTGCCTTAGAGATCTTTGGAAATTTGAACTTGAGAGAGCTGATTTAGGGTATCTGGCAGAAGAAATTTCTAAGCAGCAAAGCATTCAAGATGTGTCCTGCTTTTTCCTGAAAACATACAGTTATATGAGCTTACAAAGAGATGGATTGAAAGTGGAACTTATTTTTAAAGGGCAAGCAGAGCATAACAGTTTGGAAAATATTCAGCCTAACTATGTGGTAGAAAAGAAAAACCCATTTCCTGAGAGAGGAATTAAAGCCAGATGCATACATTTGCATAAATAATGAAAAGCCAAATGTTAATCAACCAGACAATGGGGAAAATGGCTCCAAGGCATTTCAGAGATCTTCAAGGCATCTTCTCATATCACAGGCCCAGAGGCCTAGAGGAGAAAAATTGTTTTGTGGGCCAGGCCCAGAGCTCAGCTGCTTTGTGTAGTCTCAGGACTGGGTGTCCTGCATCCCAGCAGCTCCAGCTCTAGCCATGGCTAAAAGGGGCAACATACAGCTCACGTTGATGCTTCAGAGGGTGCAAATCCTAAGCCTTGGCAACTTCCATGTAGTGTTGGGCCTGCAGGTGCACAGAAGGTAAGAGTTGAGCTTTGGGAGCCTCCACCTAAATTTCAGAGGATGTATATAAATGCCTAAATAAGCAGGCAGAAGTCTACTGCAGAGGCAAAGGCCTCATGGAAAACCTTTGCTAAGGTAATGCAGAGGGAAATGTAGGGTTCCAGCCCTGACAGAGGGCCCCCATAGTGAGAGGTGAAGCCAGCTGGCCTTCTGAGGCAGGTGGGGACTTCGAGAACTTTTCTGTCTAGCAAAAGGATTGTAAATGCACCAATCATCTCTCTGTGTTTAGCTAAAGGATTGTAAATGCACCAATCAGCACTCTGTAAAATGGACCAATCAGCACTCTGTAAAATGGACAAATCAGCACTCTGCAAAATGGACCAATCAGCACTCTGTAAAATGGACAAATCAGCACTCTGCAAAATGGACCAATCAGCAGGATGTGGGTGGGGCCAAATAACAGAATAAAAGCTGGCCACCTGAGCCAGCAGCAGCAACCTGCTTGGGTCCCTTTCCATGCTGTGGAAGCTTTGTTCTTTCGCTCTCCACAATAAATCTTGCTGCTGCTCACTCTTTGGGTCTGCACTACCTTTATGAGCTATAACACTCACTGAGAGGGTCTGCAGCTTCATTCCTGAAGTCAGTGAGACCACGAACCCACTGGAAGGAAGAAACTCCAGACATATCTGAAAATCGGAAGGAACAAACTCCAGACACACCATCTTTAAGAGCTGTAACACTCACCGTGAGGGTCTGCGGCTTCATTCTTGAAGTCAGTGAGACCAAGAACCAGTGTTTATACAAATGATAGAGCTGCTAAATGTAAAATTCCAGCCCTGGACCTTCTTATTAAGCATTACAGACATCTTTGGTTTTTTCCAGATTTCGGTTTGCTTGTATTTGTCTGGAAGTCACTCAACAGTATTGAATTTCGTTAACGTAGAGAAGAAACTCCAGACACATATTAACATCTGAAGGAACAAACTCCAGACACACCATCTTTAAGAGCTGTAACACTCACCACAAGCGTGCGTGGCTTCATTCTTGAAGTCAGCGAGACCAAGAACCCACCAGAAGGAATAAATTCTGGACACATTTTGGCAACCACGAAGGGACTATCACCTATTGCCAAGTGGTGAGTACCATTGGATCCCTTTCACTTGCTATTCTGTCTTATTTTTCCTTAGAATTCGGGGCTATATACCGGGCCCCTGTCAGCCAGTTAAAAGTGACTAGCATGGCTGCCGCACTAGACACAGGTGTCAGGTTTTCTGGGAAAGGGCTCTCTAACAACCCCTGACTCTTTGCATTTGGGAGTGTTGGTTTGCCTGGAACCAGGTTTTTCCTGTACTTCTGGGCTGAGCCGAGGGTCGACAGAGAGGAAAGCCATGCAGCTCCAGGGTCCTGACAACAAGTTGGTTCACCCTGCGGCCATGAGTGGAACTCTCAAAGTCATGTCGCCCAAGTGAGACTTGCCCATCTATCCTATCTATCCTGACCCTTGCCTCCTGGGTCCTAATGCTTGTCAGACAATCTTCCTCTCATTTCTCTTCTCCGAGAGTGCTTCCAAAAACCACTCCTTGTCTCTGGTGCTTTTCTAGTTACTCCTATAAGAATGATTTCTAGTGTAAACTTCAGGACTCTGCTCCCTTCTTTAGGCACCCGGGCTCACCAATCAGAAAGACATAATTTTTGCCTAAAGCCCCATCAGCAGGGGGACTATCTTATCTGGAATTTTAGGATCCCTCCTCAGACTAGCAGGCCTAACAAAAGCTATTCCTGAAGCTAGGATATGGGGAGCCTCAGGAATGTTATCCTTCCTACTTAAGAGAGGACAAAAGGCATCACTCTTCCAACCCTGGAGATCGCTTCTCTCACTCAGGGTATGGCCCTCTACTTAATTTTTGGGGCATAACATCTTTATAGGATGGGGTAAAGTCCCAATACTAACAGGAGAATGCTTAGGACTCTAACAGGTTTTCGAGAATGCATCGGTAAAGGCCACTAAATCCAATTTTTCTCGGTCCTTTTTGTGGTCTAGGAGGACAGGCAAGTGTGCAGGTTTTTGAGAATGCATCAGTAAGGGCCACTAAATCTGACCTTCCTTGGTCCTCCTTGTAGTCTAGGAGGAAAACTACTGTTTCTGCTGCTGCTTCAATGAGCGCAACTATTCTGATCAGCAGGGTCCAGGGACCACTGCAGGTTCTTGGGGAAGAGGTGTTTCTGCTGCTGTGTCAGTGAGTGCAACTATTCTGATCAGCAGGGTCTATGGACCATTGTGGGTTCTTGGGCGGGGAGTGGGGGAAACAAACAAACCAAAACCCCAGGTGGTTTTGTCTTTCAGATGGGAAACACTCAGACACCAACAGGCTCACCCTTGAAATGCATCCTAAGCCATTGGGACCAATTTGACCCGCAAACCCTGAAAAAGGGGCGGCTCCTTTTTTTCTGCACTTACGGCCCCAATATTCTGTCTCTGATGGGGAAAAATGGCCACCTGAGGGAAGTATAAATTACAATACTATCCTGCAGTTTGACCTTTTCTGTAAGAGGGAAGGCAAATGGAGTGAAATCCCTTATGTCCAAGGTTTCTTTTCATTGAAGGAGAATACACAACTATGCAAAGCTTGCAATTTACATCCCACAGGAGGACCTCTCAGCTTACCTCCATATCCTAGCCTCCCTATAGCTTCCCTTCCTATTAATGATAAGCCTACTCTAATCTCCCCCACCCAGAAGGAAACAAGCAAAGAAATCTCCAAAGGACCATAAAAACCCCCGGGCTATCGGTTATGTTCCCTTCAACCTATAGGGGGAGGGGAATTTGGCTCAACCCAGGTACATGTCCCCTTCTCCCTCTCTGATTCAAAGCAGATCAAGGCAGACCTGGGGAAGCTTTCAGATGATCCTGATAGGTGTATAGATATCCTACAGGGTCTAGGGCAAACCTTCTATCTCACTTGGAGAGATGTCATGCTATTGTTAGATCAAACCCTGGCCTTTAATGAAAAGAATGTGGCTTTAGTTGCAGCCTGAAAGTTTGGAGACACCTGGTATCTTAGTCAAGTAAATGATAGAATGACAGCTGAAGAAGGGGACAAATTCCCTACTGGTCAGCAAGCCGTCCCCATTATGGATCCCCACTGGGACCTCAATTCAGATCATGGGGACTGGAGTCGCAAACATCTGTTGACCTGTGTTCTAGAAGAACTAAGGAGAATTAGGAAAAAGACCATGAATTATTCAATGTTGTCCACCATGACTCAGGGAAAGGAAGATAATCCTTCTGCCTTCCTCGAGCAGTTATGGGAGGCCTTAAGAAAATATACTCCCTTGTCACCCGACTCACTTGAGGGTCAGTTGATCCAAAAAGACAAGTTTGTTACCCAATCAGCCACAGATATTGGGAGAAACTTCCAAAAGTGAGCCCTGGGCCCTGAACAAAATCTGGAGGCATTATTAAACCTGGAAACGTTAGTGTTTTGTAATAGGGACCAAGAGCAACAGGCCCAAATGGAAAAGTGAGATCAGAGAAAGGCTGCAGCCTTAGTCCTGGCCCTCAGACAAACAAACCTTGGTGGTTCAGAGAGGACAGAAAATGGAGCAGGCCAATCACCCAGTAGGGCTTGTTATCAGTGTGGTTTACAAGGACACTTTAAAAAAGATTGTCCAAGAAGAAACAAGCTGCCCCCTCACCCATGTCCACTATGCTGAGGCAATCACTGGAAGGTGCACTGCCCCAGAGGGCAAAGGTTGTCTGGGCCAGAAGCACCCAACCAGATGATCCAACAACAGGACTGAGGGTGCCTGGGGCAAGGACCCTCATCATCCTCATTGAGCCCCAGGTACATTTAACCATTGAGGGCCAGGAAATTGATTTCCTCCTGGACACTGGCATGGCTTTCTCAGTGTCAATCTCCTGTCCCAGAGAGCTGTCCTCAAGGTCTGTTACGATCTGAGGAATCCTGGGACAGCCTGTAACCAGGTATTTCTACCACCGCCTCAGTTGTAATTGGGAGACTTTGCTACAGATAGTAAGTATGCTTATCTAATCCTACATGCCCATGCTGCAATATAGAAAGAAAGGGAGTTCTTAACCTCTGAGGAACCCCTATTAAATGTCTTGAGGAAACCATGGAGTTATTGCATGCAGTGCAAAAACCCAAGGAGGTGGCAGTCTTACACTGCTGAAGCCATCAAAAGGGGAAGGAGAGGGGAGAAGAGCAGCATAAGCAGCTGGCAGAGGCGGCAGAAAGGAAAGAGAGAGACAGAAAGTCAGAGAAAGGGAGAGAGAGGAAGAAACAGAAAGACAAAGAGGAGACAGAGAGAGGAAGACACAGACAAAGAAGGAGTCAGAAAGAGCGACAAAGAAGAAGTCAAAGAGAAAGAAAGAGAGATGGAAGGAGTAAAGAAAAAACAGTGTACCCTATTCCTTTAAAAGCCAGGGTAAATTTAAAACCTGTAATTGATAATTGAAGGTCTTCTCTGTGACCCTGTAACACTCCAATACCACCTGTTGTCAGTGTAAACAAGGGCATAGCCTGAAAGCACTGAGGCCACTGACAACCCGTAGCCTTCCTATCAAAAATCCTTAACCCAGCCGGTTTCCTAACAGGGGATCTAAATCTTAATTACCATACAAAGATCTGACCAGACCTAGGAGGAACTCCCTTCAGGACAGGACGATAGATGGTTCCTCCTGGCAATTAAGGAAAAAAGACACAATGGGTATTGAGTAGGTGATAAGGAAACTCTTGTAGAAGCAGAGTTAGGAAAATTGCCTGATAATAGGTCTGCTCAAACTTGCAAGCTGTTTGCACTCAGCCAAACCTTAAAGTACTTACAGAATAAGGAAGGAGCCATCTATACCAATTCTAAGTTAATATGAACTGAGCAAGGTCTTATTAATAGCAAAGAATAATTAAAATCCCAAACGTACAAGGTTTTCAATGAAAGTAAAGTTTGCTAAAAGTTAACAGTATAACATGAATTATTCTAACTTCTAATCTTGAGGAAATCAGACCCTATCAGTAGCCCTCAAAGCTTAAGTCCATCAGCACAGAGCCGTATAACTAATACCCCTACTTATAGGGTTAGGAATGGCTACTGCTACAGGAACTGGAATAGCCAGTTTATCTACTTCATTATCCTACTACCACACACTCTCAAAGGATTTATCAGACTGTTTGCAAGAAATAACAAAATCTATCCTTACACTACAATCCCAAATAGACTCTTTGGCAGCAGTGACTGTCCAAAACTGCCAAGGCCTAAACCTCCCCACTGCTGAGAAAGGAGGACTCTGCACCTTCTTAGGGGAAGAGTGTTGTTTTTACACTAACCAGTCAGGGATAGTATGAGATGCTGCCCAGCATTTACAGGAAAAGGCTTCTGAAATCAGACGCCTTTCAAACTCTTATACCAATCTCTGGAGTTTGGCAACATGGCTTCTACCCTTTCTAGGTCCTGTGGCAGCCATCTTGCTATTACTCACCTTTGGGCCCTGTATTTTTAACCTCCTTGTCAAATTTCTTTCCTCTAGGATCAAGGCCAGTAAGCTACAGATGGTCTTACAAATGGAACCTCAAATGAGCTTAACTAACAACTTCTACTGAGGACCCCTGGACTGACCCACTGGCCCTTTCACTGGCCTAAAGAGTTCCCCTCTGGAGGACACTACAACTGCAGGGCCCCTTCATCATCCCTATCCAGCAGGAAGTAGCTAGAGTGGTCATCACCCAATTCCCAACAGCAGTTGGGGTGTCCTGTTTAGAGGGGGGATTGAAAGGTGAAGCCAGCTGGGCTTCTATGTCGGGTGGAGACTTGGAGAACTTTTCTGTCTAGCTAAAGGATTGTAAATGCATCAATCATTGCTCTGTGTCTAGCTAAAGGATTGTAAATGCACCAATCAGCACTATGTAAAAACGCACCAATCAGCACTATGTAAAATGGACCAATCAGCACTCTTAAAATGGACCAATCAGCAATCTTTAAAATGGACCAACCAGTAGGATGTGGGTGGAGCCAAATAAGGGAATAAAGGCTGGCCACCCAAGCCAGCAGCGGCAACCCACTCGGGTCCCCTTCCATGCTGTGGAAGCTTTGTTCCTTCGCTCTTCACAATAAATCTTGCTGCTGCTCACTCTTTGGGTCCGCACTACCTTTATGAGCTGTAACACTCATCGCAAGGGTCTGCGGCTTCATTCCTGAAGTCAGCGAGACCACAAACCCACTGGAAGGAAGAAACTCCAGACACATCTGAACATCAGAAGGAACAAACTCCGGACACACCATCTTTAAGAGCTGTAACACTCACTGCGAGGGTCCGCGGCTTCATTCTTGAAGTCAGCGAGACCAAGAACCAATGTTTATACAAAAGATAGAGCTTCTAAATGTAAAATTTCAGCCCTGGATCTTCTTATTAAGCATTACAGACATCTTTAGTTTTTTTCCAGAGATTTTGTTTTGCTTGTATTTGTCGAAGTCACTCAACAGTATTGAATTTCATTAATGCAGAGAAGAAACTCCAGATGCATCTTAACATCTGACAGAACAAACTCTGTACACACCATCTTTAAGAACTGTAACACTCACCACAAGCGTCTGTGGCTTCATTCTTGAAGTCAGCAAGACCAAGAATCCACCAGAAGGAATAAATTCCAGACACACTAGGGCACTGCCTAGTGAAGCTGTGAGAAGAGCTTCTCCAGACCCCAGAAAGGTAGATCCACTGACAGCACCATGCACCTGGAGAAGCTGCATGCACTCAATGCCAACCTCTGAAAGCAGCTGGGAGGGGGGCTGTACCCTGCAAAGCCATAGGAATGGAGTTGCCCAAGGCCATGTGAGCCCACCTCTTGCATCAGCGTGACCTAGATGTGAGACATGGAGTTAAAGATCATTTTGGAGCTTTAAGATTTAATCTCAAAATTTAACGCTGGTTTCAGACTTGTGTGGGGAATGTGGCCCCTTTGTTTTGGCCAATTTCTCCCATTTGGGATGGGAACATTTACCCAATGCCTGTATCCCCATTGTATCTTCAAAGTAACTCACTTGCTCAGGCTCACAGGCAGAAGGAACTTGCTTTGTCTCAGATGAGACTATGGACTTTGACTTTTGGGTTGATGCTGGAATGAGTTAAGTTTTGGGGGACTGTTGAGAAGGCATGATTGGTTTTGAAATGTGAAAAGAACGTGAGATTTGGGAGGCGCCAGGGCAGAATGATACGGTTTGGCTTTGTGTCCCAACCACATCTTATATCAAGTTTTAATCCCCACGTGTTGAGGGAGGGACATGGTGGGAGGTGATTGGATCATGGAGGCTTTTCCTCCCATGCTGTTCTCATGATAGTGAGAAAGTTCTCATGAGATCTGATGGTTTTAAAAGTGGCAGTTTCCTTTACACTCTCCCTCTCTCCTGCCACCATGTACATAAGACAAGCCTTGATTCCCATTGACATTCTGCCATGACTGTAAGTTTCCTGAGGCCTACCCAGCCACACAGAACTGTAAGTCAATTAAACCTCTTCTTTATAAATTACCCAGTCTCCGGGAGTATCTTTATAGCAGTGTGAGAACAAACTAATACACTACCTGAGACTGGGTAATTTATGAAGAAAAGAGGTTTAAACCATCAGATCTCATAAAAACTCACTGTCATGAGAACAGCATGTGGGAAACCTACCTTCATGATCCAACAACTTCCCACTAGGTCCCTCCCCTGACATGTGGGGATTACAATTCAACATGAGATTTGGGTGGGGGCATAGAGCAAAACCATATTAGAAATCTTGCCTAATATTTTAATCATTACACACATCTAACACTTTGCCTCTGGTTTCTGAGGCACACAGTCAGTATAAGGTATACTTCTTTGAAACTCAGGTGTAATTAAAATTTTCTACTATCAATAATAAAGTATAATTCTATCTTTTCACTTTACTGATTAAAATTGAGACTTAAAAGTGAATTTAAAATCACTATTAAACTTCTTTCATAAAGTAAAAGAAAATTTAGAATTATATTGAAATTATAACATCTTTACCAACAATTAACTGGTGTGATATTTAGCTAAATATACAAGTTCAAACAGAACATGAATAGAGTAAAATTAACTCAAAAATATGAATAAAAAGGAAGAATATGCAAATCTTGTGATGATATAATTTATTATTAAAATAATGTTAGATGAATTTAGCAAGTACAATTTATTCAAACTTGTGAAAAAGTTAGTGAGGTTAACAGTAAATCTTTAGACCAGGCATGGTGGCACACACCTGTAATCCCAGCACTTAGGGAGGCTGAGGCAGGTGGATTGCTTGTGCTTAAGAGTTTGAGACCAGCCTGGGCAATATGGTGAAACCCCATCTCTACTAAAAATACAAAAATTAGCCTTGCATGGTGGCACACATCTATAGTCCCAGCTACTTGGGAGGCTCAGGTGGGAGGATTGCTTGAAACTGGGAGGTCAAGGCTACGGTGAGCTGAGACTGCACCACTGCACTCCAGCCTGGGTGAAATAACAAAACTCTGTCTCAAAAAAATACCATATCTTTAAAAACATTGCTTAAATCAAAACAATGATAAATAAATACAAAAAGGCATAAGATGAAGTTTTCATATGTATAGATAAGAACTAAACAATCATAAATGAAAATCAAGTAAATAAAATCAGGAAAAAAAATATTGTAAAGTAATATTAGCAGAACCAGGGCCTTAGAAAATCAAATTGAAAACAATAAAATGATGGGAAATGAATAACAAGGGTAATTGAATTCAAGATAACAGGAAATAAAAGAAGACAATTATAATTGGACACACAATGACAAGTGCTTGCTTCAAAAATGATATGACTTGGATTTGAGATGATGAAAATGTAAACCATAATGACCAAAATGAAGTGAAAGATAATATAAAATGATGTTGTAGTATCATAAGTGAATGGAAATAATATGCACTAAGATCAAGACACAGAAATGAAATAATTTGGGCAATGGACCAATGCAGGAGGCTGCACAAAAAAGGCTGGAATAGGTTTGAGCAAAATGAAGAAGGATGAATCCATATTGAAGTAACATAAATGGATCATATATCCTAAGAATTAAATCTATATATGATATGGCATATCTAAATAATGAGAAATAAGATGCCAAAACTTTAAGTGCCTGATGCCAATAAAAGCAGAATAAATACTGTTTAAACCATAGTAAACAATTCTCTCAGTTACATTGTTAAATATAAGATGTGATTAACCAAACAGGAAAACAAAACATTCTAGCTAAAACTATATTTGGTGACGTACTCAAAACTTCAAAGCCTCGTATGACTTAAATATAGTAAATTGCATGGGGAAAATATGAGTCATTAAGATATCTACATAAAGCAATTTAGTAAAATAAAGAAAATTATGGTGAATCACAGAAAGTAATGTTTCAGTAGTATAAAGAAATATGGTGCAGCTATAATGTACATATTCTGTTAATCAAGCAGGTATACATATTTTTGGTTGTTTATCTGGATTAGTTTTGAATTTACAATATTTTTAGTTTTTCTTTACAGTGTAAATCAAAATATTAAAAAAGAAATAAAGAGAAAAAGGGAAGGGGTGAAACAGAGAGGAATAAAATAAAAGGAAGGAAAGAAGAAAGAAAGGAATTAAGATAGTTTATTAAAATAAAATGTGTACATTGAGCTCTGCTGTGTGAATCTTATAGAGCTCTGTTAAATGCAGATCAACACATTTTCTACACTGTCAAGTCTGTTAGAATATTATATTATACATTTAAATAACCTCCTCCAACAGAGATATCTTTTCTAGGTTTTTCTGACCAATTTCTAGACCTTTCATTCTGCCACATTGTTGAGACTCTGTTTAGCCTCTATTCTAGAAAATAGTCCTTTACTCTAAGGGATGTCTTGGTTTTGGGCCATGCTAATTTATATTCCTTAGTGTTTTGTCTTTTTTGGAGGGAGAATATCCTTTAGCACATTCTGAGTACATCTACATGAGAAATAATTTTTGATATTTTTAAGGCTTACTTTTGAAATATCAAATCCTCTCATAAATTATTTTTGCTTTCATGAACTAATCTCACATTAAGTCTGCATATTGAGTAATAAATTACTGGGCATTTTAAGAATTCTTTCATTTTGAATACCCTTTTAATCACAGGCTGTCTGGACTGCTAAAGCACTTAGAATTCTCATGGTAATATTCTTAACAGTTAAAAAAACAAACATTAGCTTTGAAAATGCTCTAATTATGTCTATAAGCTAATTGCTAAATAAGATGCAAGTACAATATTGATAATAATATGCATTAACTTTTATTGAGTGATATAATGTGATAGGCATAGACATTTTGTATTCTCTATATGACTTCCTTTGTATCACTCTGCCTCCCTTTAAATAATTGCACCAAGTGATTCTAAGCAACTTGTTAAAGTGACTCACTATCACCAAAAGCAACCTTAAATTTGGCTAAACTGGGAGAGGAGTTGTGATCAGGAGTGGAGGGTCCAGTTAACATCAGTGTAAAGGTAAAGTAAATATTGCTGCAGGGACGCGAGAAATGTTCAATATCAAGCCAATGGTCATCAGAGAAGGTTTAGGATAGCTACAGGAATATGGCTCCAGCTTTAAAATAAAAAGCAAAATGAGGATCTTACACACAATTTCATTTAAAAACATAGGTAGATAAATTTAGTGAAACATTGGTCTTGAACAAACATGTGTTTGAATCTTGTGTAACTGAATAAACAACTTAAGTTTTATAAGGTCCAAATCTAGTTTCTCCAACTGAAAAATGAAGGTAACATACATCTGTTCCTAGCACCATGGAGATTCCCAGCACATGTTACTCCTTATTTGACTGATCTCTTATTCTTTATACCTTGATTTCTTGCAATTAGATGCTATAATTATGACTTTAATCTATGATTCAAATTTCATTTAAGTGTTGCCTCTACATTCAGAATACCAAATTTATGCTATCCAAAGTATGAAAAAAGGGTCCTCAGCAATCACAATTTTAAAGCCATTTAAATCTTACTTAATATTATACAAGTTATTTAGATGGATATTAAGTTTTAATTTTATAATTCACAGTGGTTTTATGAATTATCTATGAAAATGAAAATGCTTCATTCATTAGTTAATATGTAAAAATTCCTTGTTCTTCCAAGTCATATGGTGAATATATATATTTTTCACACACATACATATATATATCAATATATGTGCATATATTTATAAATAAATGTTTAATCTATAAATGATATCAATAATAAAGAACACAGGCTAGTTTTTACTGGTATATTATTTATGAATAAGTGATTCTTAATTAAGTTGTATAACTCCAATAATAAAAAAATCTATTAAGAAAGAAAATATGCTTTCTTAATTATTTGCAAATATTTTAGAGAAAAGAAATTATTATAAAAGAAATTACCTATTCAAATAAGTGGTTTGCAAATTTGCTATTAGGCACTTCCTTAACTTGCTTGAAATTACTTTATATCATGAGCAATACAGTATCTTTGCACTATGGGTTCTACACTTCAGCATTTTTGCTAAATGCTCAAGAGCTTTTTATTTTCCTAAAAAATCTAAATGGTGAGTTAATTAATGCTAAAAATTTAGATATCTAGAAGCTCTTCCAAAGCCCGTAATCCTTAGAAGTACAAAATACAAAATCACGTGTTCTTAGGATATTTGTCTGATGTAGCAGTACTTGGGCAAAATGCAATAAGACACAACCATCTTCCACCTAGTTGTCACGTGTTTTATACCATTGTGGTATATCGTCATCCTACCCTCCTGCTATCATAATAACCCATGGTTATCAGGCAAGGGTCAGCCTATGAAAGGCCCTCGTCTTCCAAATCAGAGGTGTGTACCGGGGAAGATTATTGCTATTTTTTTCACTTTGAGCTTTTGCCATCTAGCAACATTCTGTGTGAGAGTTTTCTATTTTAGTATTCTTTAATGACCATTATCAAAATATCAGACAAATGTTTATAAGTTGTACACATCTAAAAATGCAATTAGGATAATAGAAATATATGTGAAGACAATGAAATATATGCATGTTACCTTTGTGACGCTTTTTATGGTGGTTTTAAAATATATTTTCAAATCCTTTAGCATTCTTCTCTTTGAATGTTGGTCTAATTCCTTTCCTCTTGCATATGGGAGTCTAATTCCTCTCCTCTTACAATTTTCAATGCCTAGCATCTAATGAATAGAATGATTCAAAAATGACACTTCATTATTTTCAGGGTTAAATAATAATAACAAGCCACTGTTGTTGTATGCCACTAAGTTCAGGGTGGTTTTTATTTGTTTGTTTAATTCATTAGTAGATAATTCAATCACTGTTCAAAAGATATAAAATGTAGGCAATGTAGTACATCTGCACTATGGGATCTAATATCCTGTATCAAATGTTAAGTGAGATAGACCAGTCATAAAATAGAAATCTTGTGTAATTTCACTTATATGAGGTTACTAAAGTAGTCAAATTCATTGAAACAAACAGTAGAATGGGAGTTTCAAGCGATGAGAGTGGGTGCAGGAAATGGAGAGTTGTTGCTTACCGGATGTAGAATTTCAGTTTTGTTAAATAAAACATTATGGAGATTGGTTGCATGACATGTAAATACATTAACACTGATGATGCAGGATTTTTTCTTGACCCCTTCATGGGACTCGTAACAGAGGTGCAGGGGTGCCTTGTTTACTCAGCCCACCCCTGTCTATTTCTCGCAGGAGGGAGCATGCGAGCAAACAAGTACAGGAACCGGAGAAAGCTCTTTGGGCATTGGCAGGAACAAACTCCATTTACTCTGCTCACCACTCTCAACCCCTTGTAGCAGGGAGCGCATAGGCAAGTGAGTATGAGATCCAGCCAGTCTCTTTTGGGCACTGGCAGGAGCGAACTCCATAGGGGCCCTGCAGCGTCCAGGTAGGACTGCCTGTGATCCCCGAAGCCCCAGAGAGCATGCTACAATGCTCTTTCAGCTCTGCTGTCCACGGATGACTTAAGTGTTAATAGCTCAGTAAGCCCTTTGCCTCGTCATGTAGGGCGGCTGTCTTCTTCCAGTGAGGGCAAAGAGCCAGTGTGACAGCCTTTTAGGGTACCTGAAACCGGTGCATTTCAAACTCCTGTCCAGTGCCCAAGAGGAATGAGATCACACAGATGAATTGAAGGATGGTGAATACTGAGAATTTTATTGAATAAGGAAAGCAGCTCTTAGCAGAGAGGAGAGTTAGAAAGGGGATGGGAAGGGCAGTTCGCTCTCTCCTGAAGTCAAACTCCCTCTCTGCCTCTCTCTTCCAAAGTCAAGTTGCCTCTCCCTGACATCCAGCCACGTCTTCCTGACATCCAACTGCTTTTTCTCTCTGCTGCGGTCTTTATAGGCACAAGATGGGGGACAAGGTGGGCCATGGGTAGTTTAGGAAAAGGCAACATTCAAGCAGAAAAAGGACAGAAGTTCTCACTTTGGGCCGTGGGTTTCAGGCTTTTGGCTGGAAGGTGGGGTTTTGCCAGGGACCCACCCCTGTCTGCATAGAATATCTTTGCCTCCTCCCTCTATCATTGTATCACTACTAAACTGTATACTTAATCATGGTTAAGAGGGTAAGTTTTATGATATGTGTATATTACCACAATTAAGAATAATAATACTTTTTAAAGAGGTTTTTGATATTACTTAATCCAAAAGTATAATGGTATAGAATTAACAATAACCTGCCAGATTCTGATGGATTCATCTATTAGAATTTGGTATTTAAGTAAAATTAAAGAAAAATCTATATAGAGTCTTAGCATGTTAGAACTGGAAGGGACTCTAGAGACTGAACTCCCATTTTCTGTATTTAAGAAAAATAAAATACAGATTAAGTTACAAAAACTTAATAGAGATGAAGACCAACCCCAAGGTTGATTATGGTTTTCAGTAAATATTAACAGGGAACAACACATCGATTGATATACCTAATAGGCAGCTTTTATCAATAAATGCAAACTAATGAATGTTATTTAGAAGAGCAAACAACCCCAACGATATATTTTTCTGTCCTTTATGTATGTGAGATTGTGAAACTGTTTATTTTGAATTATGTTGTGCTGTTGCTTTCCCCCATGATACAGCAAAGCAGCCAGACCATATTTCAGCAGAAAGACTATGGAAGAAATGAAAAATAAACCTTGATGAATTTGTTGACATGGATGTCTTCTTTCCCACTCTATTGGAATAATTCCACCTGCTTCTAACTCTAGTGAAATGAAACCTTCAATCCTAGGCTTTACTGAGACTCTTAACAAAATATTGCTACAAGATAAAAAAGAATGAAAATGACTGTAAGAGTCTCAGACCATGTGGTTACAACCTGGATTTATCATTGTGGAAAACTCACACAGTTATTCCTTCCTGCACTTATTAGCAGATGTTTAAATATGTGGATATACTATAGAAAACAATGAACAAAATTAATCACTTTAGTAACTCTTGGCACGTCAATTATCTCAGAGTTCCCTGACTCTGATAAGATGCTACCTTTCTTAATTAGATAAACAAGTTTCTCTTTTCCTTTTGCAAAATATTAAATGAACTCTCTAAAAGGACTTGGGGAGTTACATTTCAATGTGTCATTAACTTTGCTGCTTTGCCTAATTTCTAATAAAATATGTCCAATTAAGAAGTAATTTACTTTCAAATATGTTTCCAAATGCATAGAGATTGTTTGCCAAAATATTATTGGAAGTCCTCTTTGGATTAACAACTGTTTAATTTAGAATGCTCTTTTACCTGCATGTGCCTGCAATTAGGGAATCTTCCAGCAGATAGATTTCCAAGTTCTATAGATGGGTAAGTCTCTTGGTGTAGATATTGATACGTGAGGAGATAAGATTAACATTTAAAAATGCCTGTCTACTAGTTGTTTCAAAATATGTATATAATACAATATATATTCAAATAAATGCTCATCTTAATATGTTGTGTAGAAAATCACAATTATATCAATTCAAAGCATGTATTTATAATGGAATATTTCCCCATTATTTTGAAATGACTATGACTAAATGCTATAATACTATTTGCCTAATATCAACTAGTATCTCTCTTTCTTTAGGGCACTTTGCTGTCTTTAATGTTTATCAAGAGCATCTGGAATATGCATTAAAGAATGAGCTTCCCTAGTTTAAAGTGTTGTGATTATAAATACACGATATTCGCAAGAATTACTTGTAAATCAGAAGAAAAAGTTCAGAGAAATATAACATCTGACTTGTAATCAGAAAACTTGAATATAAACTCACCTCTGATGTTTATTTGTTACCTTTTGTTCATTAAGGATACAAACTTCTTTTAGCCTCAATAACTTTGCTTATAAAATATGGGTAACCATTCTACCTTGAATGCTTGTAATAAAGACGGTGTCTGTAAATATCCACTTAACTCATAAAAACATGCCACAAAAATGTAAGTATCATTAATATAGAGCAAGTGCCAAGGATTTCCTTTCTTATTACATGGCTTTATTGAGAGCATAGTAGACCTATCTCTAAGAGTTTTTCTTTTTAGAAGTGACCACTACTTCTGCAAGCTATTATTATAGTTTATCTTAACTGCACAGGAAAATACTATCTGTGATATGTCTGAAGTTACCTCTATTAGCTGCTGTAAAATCATAGAAAATCTAAAATGTTGTTAGGTATGTGACTGCTTCAGTCACCTTGTGTGTCTACTATCGCCTCATATGACTGTTTTCACTTTCTTACACTTTTGATATTTTTACACATTTGGTAGTAACTTTGCTGTCAGTAGTGGTCTCTAAACAGCAGCCTTTTCTAATGCAACAGTTGTTCAAACTGTCATCTTTTTATTAACCATTAAATATTCAAACTTTAAAGAAAAACTATGAAGATTTTTGTTATTTAGTATTTTAACAAAATAACTAATTATTTTTCCTATGCAACTTTAGTAATTATGAACATTTTGGGAAACACCTCTGATACAGTTTCAAGCCCTGACTTTGGTTTTGTTATATTAATTTATTCATTCAATACATATTTATGGGGCTCCTAATATGCACCGGTGTTGTTATGGGCTCTCGAAACTGAGCAGTGAATTGAGCAATTCCATACAGTTTGGAATATTTGTTCTAAGCTCCAAGGTATGAATATGAATAATGTATAAATATTACTAAAAATTTTTGAAAAATGTAAGAATGTAGACAATATAGCACTCCTATATACCTTTTTAAAATTAGAAAAAAACAAAAGAGTTCTGGACAAAATCCAGACAAAAGTATATGGACAACAAAGATACCAGAGATAAAGCCATTAAGGTAAAAGAACAGCTATTGAGCATTTTATCCATATAAATGTAGAATTGAAACAACTGGGAAATTATTGTTACAAGAGCCCCCACAAATAAAACCTACTAACGTTATGGAAATGGATGGTTTGGGAAAATGGAGTATGAGGAATATGTGTTAATTTCTTAAATACTGGTGGTATCTAAATTCTAAGTGTATAGTTTAAAATCCATGATGACAACTGCATATTTCAGAAAATTTCCAAGAATCTCAGATTTCATTCAAATTCATAAGATTGTCTTTATCTTTGGTTAAATTCACATCTATTCAAATTTAATATTTTATAAAATGTATTATGTAGTAGGATTCAAATTCTCTAAAATTATTTCAGTGGTATTTATATACATATATATACAAGCACATATATGTTTTCCTATATGTATGTTTGTATGTATGCATGTATCTAACTATCTAACTCTTATGCCCATAGGTAGGTGACTCAGAGAATATTAGTTATTTTCATTTTCATGATTAGACTTTCTCTAGAATAAATTAGTGGTTGTAGGTAATCTGAGAGCATATGTGAGGTTGATAATTATGAATTTATAGTAACACCAGTTTTACTAGGCTATTCTTGCGTTGATATAAAGAAATACCTGACACTGGGTAATTTACGAAGAAAGGAGGTTCAATTGGCTCAGAGTTCTGCAGGCTGTACAAGAAACATAGCATCGACATCTGTTTCTTCAATGGCCTCAGGAAGCTTTCAATCATGGTAGAGGGTAAAGGGAGTGCAGGCGCCTCACATGACGGGAGTGAGAGAAAGATAGAGAGTGGGAGGAGGATAGAGGTGCCACACTTTCTTTTTTTTTTTTTTTTTATTATACTTTAAGTTTTAGGGTACATGTGCACATTGTGCAGGTTACATACATATGTATACATGTGCCATGCTGGTGCGCTGCACCCACTAACTCGTCATCTAGCATTAGGTATATCTCCCAATGCTATCCCTCCCCCCTCCCCCCACCCCACAACAGTCCCCAGAGTGTGATATTCCCCTTCCTGTGTCCATGTGATCTCATTGTTCAATTCCCACCTATGAGTGAGAATATGCGGTGTTTGGTTTTTTGTTCTTGCGATAGTTTACTGAGAATGATGATTTCCAATTTCATCCATGTCCCTACAAAGGACATGAACTCATCATTTTTTATGGCTGCATAGTATTCCATGGTGTATGTGTGCCACATTTTCTTAATCCAGTCTATCATTGTTGGACATCTGGGTTGGTTCCAAGTCTTTGCTATTGTGAATAATGCCGCAATAAACATACGTGTGCATGTGTCTTTATAGCAGCATGATTTATAGTCATTTGGGTATATACCCAGTAATGGGATGGCTGGGTCAAATGGAGGTGCCACACTTTCTAACAACCAGATCTTACAAGCATTCACTCACTAACGTGAGGACAGGACCAAGCCATGAGTGATCTGCCCCCATGATCCAAACACCTCCCACCATGACCCACCTCTCACACTGGGGAATACATATCAACACAAAATTTGGAGGGGACATCAACACTATATCGCTAGTGTACTCTACTCTGTAATTTTGTTTCAGTAGACCCTGCTATCATAATATATACACAAAGCAAGAATATAGAATACTTGAATCTTGGTTTGGAACTTCACTAGATGAACACAATAAGAAAAATAACATGATTTACAGAACTGGAAAAATGTCAAAATAATAAGCTAGAAGATCTTAGCTGAAAAATATGAAAGTAAAGAAAGACGAAAGATCTTGGAATATAAGAAAGTAGAAATTTCAAGAGACTGAATTATGTAGATATAAATAAACAGTCAAATTAAGGTGGAAGAAATACAGTTTCTGGTAAAAAAGTTAGGTTACTTACCACTGATTATAGAAGTTTTTTTTTTTTTTTTTACAAAAGGATAAACACAAGAATCAGGACAAATGAAAGCTATCTAATCTGTAGTGACAAGGAAATCAATTGCTTGTGATGAGGGAGTGAAGAAGTAGAATACTGTTTGAGATATCTGTATCAGATGATGGAGTCATTGAGGATGATAAGACGACTTGAAGTGGAAAGAGAATTAAAGTGGTAGAGTGGTAAATAAAATATCACTGTGAAGAAGTTAGAGAAGGTATTATTTTCATCTCTAATTTGCAGAAATGCAACCTGAGATTCAAAGGAGTTATGTAACTTATACTTGATGACTTAATCTAGCTTCTACTTCCTCATTTTCTTTTATGATCTTATATATCATAAAGCTCTCTGAACTTGGAATTTTAGTATTTTCTTATACTTGAATTGGTTATCTTGGAAAAAGTTTGTTACATAGTTAAAAAATTAATTATACATGTGAACTATAAGGGGCTGTCACTCAGACAGTGATTCATGGGACTGAATGAACTCCATGAATAAATATAGTGTATTGCCCTAACTTTGGCTCTTCATATCTCACCAGCATACAATATAAGAATGAATTTAAAGTGAACTTCATAAAACAATGCATTTTCAATGTACTGACTAATGAATGAGGGCTACTTAATATTACAATATAATCTCATGCATAACAACAGAAGTCTGAAGGATGAGCCCACAGAACAAGAACACTGAATGCATGTGTCTCCCTTATAGTTGAAGTTGAGCATTGAAAGTGTTTATGAATTGTAGTACCAATGCATTATTGTAACTTTTGCAGATGCAGATGCCCAAAGACAACCTTCAGGCTTTGAAGAGCTATGCACAGATGTCAAAATGATCTCAGACTATAGTGGGCCAATTGTATATTCCTTGATCACTATAAATTCTGTAAGCAACTAACAGACAAAAAGATAACGAGTTAAAGAAACAAAGAATTAAGGTTTATCAAAAAAAAACCATAAAAGCTAACATTTATTGAGCCTTTACAATGTGTAGGAAACAATTCTAACTACTTCATCAGTTATTATCTTGCTTAATCTTCAGTCATTATAAAATGTAGTTATTATCCCACAGATAAGAAAACTGAAGCTTACAAAGTTAAAGAGCTTGCCCCAAACACATAGTAAGAGTCAGAATTAGACCATCAGACTCCATGTGTGCACTACTGTATACTGAGTTCTCCTATGTACTAAATACTTTATACCATATATAATATGACTCATCTTCTTCAACTCCCTACAAGCTAAATATTATGATCTTCATTTTACATATGAATAAATGGAGACTCACAAAACTAATAACAGCTTGAATCAGAATTCAACACTGACAGCAGGTGGCATTTTTGACCCCATTTTTGATTCATAAAATTTTGTCTTCATTCACAGAAATTAAGCATAGTGATAAATCAGAAAATTATTTTATCACATTCTTCTGGATTGCAATGTAATTTGCATTATAAAAATACTATTGTCAGTTCTAATAGAATCTCCAACAGTGTTCTGAATGCTGTATGCTTACACTTAGCTTGACAGTATACATTGAAGGTATTGTTAGGTAAATGGTCTGAAGGGATTACTTTATTATGTGACATATAAAAGCCCAGAGTAATGACAGGATGATGTAGACTATCACAGGAAGAATCTCACTCATCACTTCCAGAATTATAAAAATACATCTGCTGAGTCAAGAAAAAAAACACCCTCAGTGTTTTAATTATGTCTAGGTTTATACAGTGTATGCTTTTAAAACAAGGAAAAGGTGAGCATAATTCAGTGCTATGTAATTAACTGAATAACTGGCCTAGTACATTGCTCAGATTAACTAAAGGATTGGAGCAAACGTTAATAACAGACTTGGCTTTTAGAATTGATAAAATTTTTTTCCTTTGATTTTGGAATTTCAGCTGAGAGATTTCACCAAAGTAAAGGGGGATATATTTTCCCTTTTCTTCTCCTTAAAAGGATTCAACTAGGCTTCCAAAACAGCAGAGGGTCGGGTTAATCTGCAGCTTCCTGGAGTGTTTAGAATGAAAGGTCAGAAGTACAATGTCTGAGCATATTAGACTTTCCAAGGAAATAAATATCACTTTCAGAAATAGCCCCACAACTCTAAGGACAGTTGTTTATTTTTTAACATATGTTATCATCGCTCAGCTCCATCAACACAACTGTTACATCCCTAATTTATTTCCATGCCACTTCTGCCAAACATATTTGTTCTTTATTTTCCTTATTTTTTTACTTTATTTTCTTTATTTTTAACAACAGAAACTCAAAAAACAATGCCCTTCATTGTAATCTGTGTAAAAAGAAACACCTACCTTTTAAATCATTTTTTATTGATTTTATTTAAATTAACACTCCACAGTCTCAGATGATAGTTTATAGAGGGTTTGGGGGCACGGTCTGTACTTCTTTTAGAACTTCCAAGAGAGTAAGAAACATAAAATTGGCACTTACAAGAGAGAGTAGATTCTGCAGCTAAAGCATTTCCCAATTATGATGGCTATAGCCACATTTGTCTATGTAAAAGCAAACTATCTAATTCATCACATCTGGTCCCTATTTATCTTTAAGTCACATCTGCTGACTTTACCAGCAAAAACATACTGTTGTGCTATATTTTGTTCCTTGCAGTTGGCATAGCAGAGCTGATACAGATGAGGCAGACTCTGAAGCCATTGCTGTTTCTCTTCCCTCCCTCATTCTCAGCAACATCCTCACATAAAGCCAAATACAATTCTTTATCATGAGGGGCCAGGAAGGCAGAAGAAGAAACTACATTTAAATTGTATTCCATGTGGAAGAATGATTTTTATAAAGAAATCCCAATCAATTAATGGATATGTCCAATCTCATGTAGGTGCATCAATTAATGTGTGCATTTTTGGCATATGAAATATACCTTAATAAAGCTAATTTTAAAGAAGAAATTACCATTATCTTTGAAATTTCTGAGAAAGTCACAATTACATATGTAGTATCATAACTAAGGGCACAACTTGCCTTTCAGCTTGTCGAACATGTAAAATAAATGTCAAATTAAAGAGAACATTATTCTGCAGGCTCTTCTTAGATGGTTCCTCTGAGATTAAAAAACAACGACAACAACATAAATACATATATGAGTTTTTTTGTATACACTTCCTCCAAACAGTTGCTAAAATACTTCTCAAGCAAAACTGGAGAAAATGGTGTATTTATGAAAATTCCTGTTTTAAAAATATTTTTATTTCTACCATTATTCATTCAATTATTGGAAAATTAATATTTCATTTTTAGGCCAAGCGTGGTGGCTCATGCCTCTAATCCTGATACTCTGGGATGCCGAGGCAGGTGGATCACTTGACTTGAGGTCAGCAGTTTGAGACTAGCCTGGCCAACATGGTGACACCCCATCTCTACCAAAAATATAAAAAATTAGCTAGGTGTGGTGGAGCTCACCTGTAATCCCAGCTACTCGGGAGGCTGAGGCAGGAGAATCACTAGAACCTGGGAGGCAGAGGTTGCAGTGAGCTGAGATCATGCCACTGCACTCCAGCCTTGGTGACAGAGCGAAACTCTGTTGCAAAAAATAGTAATAATCATTTCTATAATCCTGTATAAATTATACAGGCACATATAAATAGTTTTAATTAAATTGTCAAAACAATATTGAAAGGTGACTATTATCTACCTGGTTCATTGTGGAAAAATATCAAACTTAGAAAGGTAAGGTATATAGGCCAAGATTACATAGTTAGTGTCAGAGCTGGCTTTTTCCCATCAATGTGCAAAAGTCACAAGCATGTCTATACACCAATAACAGACAAGCAGAGAGCCAAATCATGAGTGAAGTACCATTCACATTTGCTACAAAGAAAATAAAATACCTAGGAATAAACTTACAAGGGAGGTGAAGGACCTTGTCAAGGAGAATTACAAACCACTGCTAAAGGAAATAAGAGAGGACACAAACAAATGGAAAAAAATTCCATGCTCATGGATAGGAAGAATCAATATTGTGAAAATGGCCATATTGCCCAAAATAATTTATAGATTCAATGCTATTCCCATCAAACTACCATTGACTTTCTTCACAGAACTAGAAAAAACTATGTTAAATTTCATATGGAACCAAAAAAGAGCCTGTATAGCAAAGACAATCCTAAGCAACAAGAGCAAAGCTGGAGGCATCACGCCACCTGACTTCAAACTTACACTACAATGCTACATTAACCAAAACAGCAAGGTAATGGTACCAAAACAGATATATAGATCAATGGAACAGAACAGAGGCCTCAGAAATAACACCACACATCTACAACCATCTGATCTTCAACAAACCTGACAAAATAAGGAATGGGGAAATTATTCCCTATTTAATAAATGCTGCTGGGACCTGGTAGCCATATGCACAAAACAAAAACTAAACCCCTTCCTTACACCTTATACAAAAATTAACTCAAGATGGATTAAAGACTTAAATATAAACCTGAAACAATACAAATCCTAGAAGAAAACCTAGGCAATACCATTCAGGACACAGGCATGGGCAAAGACTTCATGACTAAAACAGCAAAAGCAACTTCAACAAAAGCCAAAATTGACAAAGCGTATCTAACTAAACTAAGGAGATTCTTCTCAACAAAAGAAACTATCATCAGAGTGAACAGGCAACCTACAGAATGGGAGAAAAATTTTGCAATGGATCCATCTGACAAAGGTCTAATATTCAGAATCTATAAGGAATTTAAACAGATTTACAAGAAAAAAAACAACTCATCAAAAAGTGGGCAAAGGATATGAACAAACACTTCTCAAAAGAGGACATTTATGTGGCCAATAAACACATGAAAAAAAGCTCATCATCACTGGTCATTAGAGAAATGCAAATCAAAAACCACAATGAGATACCATCTCACACCAGTTAGAATGGCAATCACTAAAAATTCTGGAAACAACAGATGCTGGTGAGGATGCGGAAAATAGGAATGCTTTTACACTGTTGATAGGAGTGTAAATTAGTGCAACCATTGTGGAAGACAGTGTGGCAATTCCTCAAGGACCCAGAACCAAAAATACCATTTGACCCAGCAATCCTACTACTGGGTATATACCCAAAGGATTGTAAATTATTCTACTATAAAGACACATGCATGTGTATGTTTACTGCGGCACTATTTACAATAGCAAAGATTTGGAACCAACCCGAATGCCCGTCAATGATAGACTGGATAAAGAAAATGTGACACATAAACACAATGGAATACTATGCAGTGATAAAAAAGAATGAGTTCATGTCCTTTTCAGGGACATGGATGAAGCTGGAAACCATCATCCTCAGCAAAGTAACACAGAAAGACAAAACCAAACCCGCATGTTCTCACTCATAAGTGGGAGTTGAACAATGAAAACACATGGACACAGGGAGGGGAACATGACACACCGGGGCCTGTCGGGGGATTGTGGGGAAAGGGGAGGGAGAGCATTAGGACAAATACCTAATCCACATGGGGCTTTAAAACCTAGATGATGGGTTGATAGGTTCAGCAAACCACCATGACAAATGTGTACCTATGTAACAAATCCACATGTTCAGCACATGTATACCAGAACTCAAATAAAACAAACAAACAAAAACTGGCTTTTTATCTCAGAATCTAAGTCAGTGTTCTTTGTCTTACTTTGTCTTTGCCATAGTTTCTCAGCTTTAATTTTTATTGTTACTTTGTTTGCCCAATATTTTAAAATAGTGGCCCAAAGTGAAAATACAATGGCACTTTCTTCCTTCTGTTACAAAAGAATATTTCAAGTTGAAAATTTAATTTAGGAAAATAAAATTTAAAGTATCTTTAAATAATGATATAAACCTAACATATTTTTACTTTGGGAATTTGGTGATTATGGCACAACTGTAGATGAAATAAAAATTATATCAAACAGAATGTGATGCAGCAATAACTGTGGGTAAAGTCCACAGCTACTTTCACAAGAAATGGGAAACCTTTACATTACAGGCTTTCTTATTACCTCCTGGTTTTTATTTCATCAACGAATATTTTTAATATATCTGTAGAGCCTAAATGGGCAACATTATAGACTAAAGAACTGATAATACAGCCGGGCAAGGTGGCTCACGCCTGTAATCCCACACTTTGGGAGGCCAAGTTGGGCAGATCACCTGAGCTCAGGAGTTCGAGACCAGCCTGGCCAACATAGTGAAACCCCGTCTCTACTAAAAAAAAAATGCAAAAATTAGTCAGGCATGGTGGCGGTCACCTGTAATCCCAGCCACTCAGGAGGCTGAGGCTGGTGAATTGCTTGAAGCCAGGAGGCAGGGGTTGCAGTGAGTTGAGATCATGCCACTACACTCAAGCCTGGGTGACAAAAGCAAAACTCCATCTCAAAAAAAAAAAAAAAAGATAAAACGAAGAACTGATAACACTATAGACTAAAGAACTGATAATACTACATAGACATAATGAATATGAGTAAAACCAACTAATCACTAATTCCATTTTGTTTCATTACCACACAAACACATGTACATACACACACACACAAGCTGTGTATTTCATGCTACTTATGTTTCATATCTAGGCTAATAAACTTTCTCTATCACCTGCCATTTGTTTTAATCCAGAACATTTTCATCTGATGAGTAAACACATTCTAAACAAATAGCAGTACGTAGACCCTTTATTTCAAAGGAAACTTGCTCCTGTACCTGGCATTTTTTCTCTTTTTTTAAACAAAATATAGTATTTTACATATTTTGACAAATAATGTATCACTTAATTTTTTATATTTTAAAAGTGAATGAACAAATATATAAATTTGAATTAGAAACATGGCTAGAGTGTAGAAACCTGATTCGTAGTTTATAAGAGGTTGATTTGTTCTTTTGGATAAATGCTTAACATGGAGGAGATAAAAAGACTTTCACAAAAGTCCACTATTGGGATAAATGGCCTATTGGTGTTTATTTAATTGTAAATGTTGGCGTTGTATTTAACTATTTAAATAATTAGTGTTGTATTTAATTATATAAAAAAGAACTCAAAATAGATATAATTCAAAATTTGACTCAAAACATTATCATCGACCAATATCTAGGGTGACCATACAATTTATTATCTAAACCTGGGCATTTCTGAGAGTAAAGGTTCATTCTTTAAATAAGTAAATGAATATAATTTTTGAAAAATCCATTTATCAAACAACAACTTATTTTTACTACGTTGAAATTTACTATTCTCTTTAAAAAGTATTTTCCAAAATATTTGGATGAAAAAATATGTATACTGTGTATTTATACATATATATACAAAATAGAACATAACAAACATCAAAATGAATTGATTACCTCAATGTTTAAAATAAGTAAAATGTTGTTCTAATTATCATTCTTATTATTAAAAATAGGTTCAATGAGACTGACATTCCTAAGATGGCAGAGTAAAAGTTTCCAATCCTCATGTACCCACAAAAATAGCAATTTTAACAATGACCTGTGGACAAGAATACCTTTGTAGAAGGCTCAGATTCTGGCTAATAGGTTCCAGTAGCCCAGTAATACAAAATACCTGAAAGTGAACTCATTGCAGGGAGTGAGAATAGCAGTTTCACTTTTCCTGCATCACCCCTACCCCAAAGTAGCACAACTTGGTACCAAGAGAGGTCAGCTAGTCCCTCCACTCTGCCAGTCTACAGTTTTCTCCCACAGAGGAAACTGAAAGCAAAGTCAACGCCCAAATTCCCGAACCTTTTAGGATGCTGCCCAGAGGGCCCACCTCTGTCTCACTCCACTCAGAACACTGATGGCACTGACATGACCGAATTATCTGGGAGTATCTTGTAGCAAGGAAAAGAAGTGAGAGTGCATAGCCACTGGCTCTTGGTTATCAACAGCCAGCCATTGATCTGCTAATCAGCTCATGAACTCCACAAAGGAGCCTAACAATAAACCCCAACTTGTCTGCAGAATCCCTGCCAAGCAACATGCACCCCACACTTCCCTACTCATGGATGAGACTTTGCATGTCTCTGCGCATTGATGTCATGGACTCCCGCAGATAGCACATAAGCACAACAGCAGGTGTGGATTATAGCAGCGAGTTTGATTTTGCTAGTGTAGAAGAAAGCGCCCCTGGAGAAAACATTTGGGAGATGTCAGCACAAGGACTTGTTTTCCATGATCTATAGAAAACACTCAATTCTGAGACATTCTGCATAAGAGGGAACAAAAGGAGGAGAGTATTAACATCCCTAAAAACGACTGGAAAAACCCTCGGTATCTTTAGCTAGTTTCACTGGGGAAAGCCTTCCCAAAGCCGCTTAGTAAAAATAGGAGAAATTGGCTCTTCTTCATAAGTGAAAACAGCATAACAAGGCATCAAAAACACACAGAGTCAAAGAAATATGATAATTCCAATGGAACAAAATAAAGCTCCCATGGCTTACCCCCTCAAAAATAGATATCTATGAGATGTCTGAAAAAAATCCAAAATAATCAAAGAATAATCAAGGAAACTCAATGAGCTATAAGAGCACGCAGACAACTAAATAAAATAATAATAATAATAAAAACGTAGCCAGGAGTGGTGGTGCACACCTGTAGTCCCAGTTATTCGGAAGGCTGAGACAGGAGAATCACTTGAACCCACGAGGCAGAGGTTGCCAGAGGATTGCACCACTGCACTCCAGCCTGGGTGATAGCATGAGACTCCATCTCAAAAAAAAAAAAAAAAAAAAAAAGATACAGAAACCATGAAAAATGAAGCAAAAATAAATCCTGGAGCTATTGAGTATGATGGCTGAAGTAAAGAAAAAAAATTACAATAGAGAGCTTTAATAGCAGACTTAATCAATCAGGTAAAGAATCAGTAAACTTAGAGACAGATAATTTGATTGCCCATTTAGAGGAACAAAAGAGAAAATGTATAAAAAAAAAGAGAGGAAATACTTCAGGATGTATGGGACACCATCAAACAAGCCAATATACATATTATGGGAATCTCAGAAGGAACAGAGAGAGAAAGAGATAAAAGTATAAAGATCATTTGAAGAAGTAACACAAAACTTTCCAAAACCAAAGAAATGAACATACAGATCTATGTAGCTCAAAAATCTCCAAATAGATTGAGGGCATGACAAAAAAATTATAGGTCAATATTCCTGTTGAACATAGTTGTGAAATCCTCAACAAAATACTAACAAACTGATTCAATAGCAAACTGAAAGGTTTATAAACCTTGATCAAGTGGGATTTATCCCTGAGATGCAAGGATGGTTTAACATAAACAAATCTATCAATGTAATACACCATATTAACAGAATGACTGAGAAAAATCATATAGTAAACTCAATAATCATAAAAATATATTTAACAAAATTCAATGCCTTTTTGTAATAAAAGCTGTCAACAAATTAGATATAAAAGGAATATATCTTACCATTATAAAGGTCATATGTAATAAGCCCACAACAAACATTATACAATAATGAAAACCTGTAAGGTTTTCCTCTATGATGAGGAGCAAGATAAGGATACCTACTCTCACCACTTCTATTCAACATAGTATTGGACGTCCTAGCCAGAATAATTAGAAAATAAAAAAAGAAATAAAAGGCATTCAAATTCAAGAAAGAAAATAAATTTTTATGCACCCTTGACATAATCTTATATATTGAAAACACTAAAGACTCTACCAAAATCTTAAAACTAATAAATACAGTAAAGTTGTAAGATACAAAATCAACCTACAAAAATTGGTAGCATCTTTCTACATGAAAACAAATTACCCTAAAAAGAAATCAAGAAAACAATCCCACTTATAATAGCCTCAAAAAGAATAAAATACTTAGGTATATATTTGACCAAGCAGATGAAAAATATGTGCACTTAAAGTTATAAAATATTGATTAAAAAATATACTAGACCCCCGAAAATGGAAAGATATCGATGTGGTGGAAGAATTGACAATAGCTAAATTGTACATTATAAAATATTGATTAAAATATTGATTTTAATTTTATAAAATATTATTTTAAAATTATAAAATATTGATTAAAAAATATACTAGACCCCCCAAAATGGAAAGATATCTGATGTGGTGGAAGAATTGATAATAGCTAAATTGTACATACTACTCAAAGTGACTTACAGATTCAATGCAATCTCCATCATAATTCAAATAGCATTTTTTACAGAAATAAAAAAATCATAAAATTAATTTGAAACCCTCTACTCTCTCTCAAACAAAAGCAAATAGTCAAAGCAATGTTGAGCAAGAGCAAAGCTGGAGGTATCACACATCCTTATCTCAGGAATTTTAGGATTTTTAAAAAATTTCTGTGTTAAATACTGTTGGAATTACGATAGGGATTGCATTGAATCTGTAGATCACTTGGGTATTGTGGACATTTTAACAATTGTCAATTCTTCCAATACACTGGATAGCTTCCCATTTATTTGGGGCTTTTTTCTTTTGTTCCTCTGAATGGGTAATCAAAACAGTATAGTTCTGGCACAAAAGTATACACATAGACCAATGGAACAGAATAAAGTGATCAGAACCAAACCTACACATATATAGCCAACTATTTTTCAACAATGGTTTGACGCACACACAACTTGGAAAGGATAGTGTTTTCAATATGTGGTCCTGGGAAAACTGTATATCCGCATGCAAAATGATAAAAATCAACCCTTATATTTAATCATGCACAAAAATAAACTCAAAATGGATTAAAGACATAAATATAGGTTTTAAATGATTAAAACTCATAGAAGAAAACATAGGGAAAATGCTCCTTTATATTTGTCTTTGCAGTAATAGTTTGTTAATGACACCAAAAGCAAGCACAAACAACAAAAGCAAAAATAAACAAGTGGAATTACAGCAAACCAAAAACTTTCTTCCCAGCAAAGGAAACAATCAACATAGTAAAATGCAACAAGTGGAATGTGAAACAATATTTTCAAACCTTTTATTCATTAAGGAGCATATGTCCAAAATATACACGGATTTTGTACAAGAAAATAGCAAAAATACAAATAACCTAATTTTTTAAATGGGCAAAAAAACTTGAATAAACGTTTATCAAAAGAAAACATAGAAAAGGCTACTTGATATACGAAAAGGTACTCAACATCACTAATCATCAGATAAATGCATATCAAAACCATAATGAATATTACCTGACATCTGTTAGGTTGGCTATTAAAAAACAGTTTTGGTGGCGATGATGTGAAGAAAAGGTAATCCTCTGACACATTGTGTGGGAAAGTAAATTGGTATAGCCATCATGGAAAACAGTATGGAGATTAATAGAACTACAATTTGATCCAGCAATCCCATTTTGGGTTATATATCCAAGGGAATTGAATCAGGATCTTGAAGAGATATGTGCACTTTTAATGTTCATTGCAGCATTATTCACACAAGACATGGAAAAACACAAATGCTTATCAATTGAGAAATGAACAAAGAAGAGGTATTATATACATACAATGGAATATTATTCAACCTTGAAAGAAAATAAGATTCTTCCATTTACAACAAGATGAATGGACCTGAAGGAGAGTATGCTAAGACACAAAAAGAGAAATACTATATAATCTCACTTACATGAAGAATCTAAAATAGTCAAACTCATAGAAGCAGAGAGTAGAATGGTGATTGTCAGGGTTTGTTGGAGAGGGTGGTGGACAGAAGAGTGATCATTAAATATATTATACAAATGTTCATGTATTCAAGATTAAGTAAATTTAGTAGATTTACTATACAATATAGTGCCTATAGCTAACGACAGGGTACTGTATACTTAACCTACACGTTAAAAAGAGGATAGATCTTACCTTAAAGGTTCTTACCACAAATAAGTTCTAAAATATAATAATGATACTAATAAAGGGGTTTGAGGAAATGTTGGGAGGTGATGGCCTTGATGGAAGTGATGGTTTCTTGGGCGTATGCTTATCTTGAAACTCATCATGATGTATATATTAAATATGTATATATTTTTTATATGTCAACCATACCTCCAAATATGGGTTTAAAATATGGTTATTACTTCTCCATTCTTATTATTTTTAATCTTTCTCCTCTAGTACTGAATCACAAGAATTTTTCTCAAGAATATTTTTCAGTTTCTATTAGTTAATTTTTTAATTTGCTTCAAAATATTATGGTTTACAGTTAACAAATTTGAAGTGCTTGACACTGAATTGCCTCTTCTTTTTGGAAAATAATATTTTGACTTGAAGCAATACTTTATCCTCAGATACTGTGGTTTTTGCTATACTCATAACCAAAATGCGAATATAGAATGTATTTATTCCATTTTATTTTCATTGTAGATATACACACATATTATACACACACATATATGATTATACACACATATATAGTGGTAAATGCCTTCAGCTACCACTATTATGTGAACTGGAATAAATTGTAGCATCCAGTTACAATATTATTTTGGCTTGGCTTACTGATATGTTCTACTGATGAAGCAGAAGGAGAAGGTTGTGTGTGTGTGTGTGGGGGGGGTGTACATCTGTGTGTGTATGATTTCCAGTATTTCTTAAAAAGGGAGATGTCAAGATTCTTCATCCCTTTATTCTTCTCGTCTGTATTGTATTTTATTTTCAGTCAAGTATTGAAGTATCAGTTCAAAAGCCATATTTAACCATGAGGTGGCTTCCAGGCTAGCAGTTCACGATAGTAAAAAGAAATGTACTCATTGATACTGTTGAGCTATTATACCAACCCTTGATTGTCTATTACCTATGAGAAAGAAATGAAATTTTGTTGTGTTTATTTTGGAGTTTCTTAATACAAATAGCCAAACAATTTTCATTTACATATGGGTACACATTCAATCAATAAATACATAAATTTCTTTCTTAAATAAAATAATGTTAAATTAACAAAGCAAGCATACACAAAGGAATAAAATGCTATCAAAGAGAAGGGAAGTAGATCTTTTGTTTCAAACTTTCATAAAAATTTTAATATTGGAAAGAACAGCAGTAGCAGAAAGGAACAGAGACATTGATGTCAGATTGGCAAATAATAATCAGTCTTATTCCAATAGCTGGACATATTTGAAAAAGCCAAGTACAATCTCAGCTGCCAGATCTACCAGGTTCAGTCTACTGCACAGAATGGTAACTATAATAAATATATTTAAAATGAAGAAAAATAAATAAAAACAGGAAAAATTAAAATAAATCTATTTAAAAGTAAAAGAACAGTTTTACAGGAGCAAGAATGATAATTACAACAAATTTCTTACCTGAAAATATGCCAGCAAAAAGACAGTGGAGTAAAATGTTTAACGATGAAGAAAAAATTACAATATGAATTTGTAATTCTATGTTCAATGAAATTATCCTTTGAAGTAAAAGAGAATAAACTTATTATCAGACTAAGACTAAAGGGAGTTATTGGTAGCTGACCTCATATGCAGAAATGTTAAAAGATTTTCTTCAGAAAAAAGGAAAGGAAAGTTATATAGGTCAAAACCTGTATCTACATAAAGAAAGGAAGCCTGTTAAAGAGACAAAATACTATCTTTTAATTTTCTTATTTTCTTTAACTGCTATAAAATGTAACTGTTTTCTTAAAGCAATAATTATAGTAACAATGTATTTGGTGCTTACAGCATATGGAGAAATGAAAAAGAAATGTCACAGAGATTGGAGAGAGGAATTATAAATCCCCTCTCTAAGTAGCCTCTCTCTGAAAGCTACCTACACTACGTGGGAAATAGAATACTATTAATGGTGGTGAACTTAGAGTAATTAAAAATGCATATTGTAAACTTAAGGCAATTACCAATAAAAAGAGAAGAAAATAATTATGTTGATATAATAAGAAATAAAAATGAAATCATGTAAAATGCTCAAATAAAAATAGTGAATGCAGATAATGGAGCCTCTGACAAACATGCAAACATGGGTGATATCAATTCAAATATTTCAATAATTATTTTATATATGAATGATCTAAATACACTAATTAAAAGACAGAAATTGACAAAGTGGATAAAAAACAAATTTCCACGTACTATCTACAACTCGACATATTGTCTACAGGAAACCCAATTACATATGAGGCCACTGAGAGGTTAAAGTTAAAAGGATAAAGACAAGTATGCCACGCTAACATTAATCAAAAGAAAGTTGTAGTAGCTATAATAATTCCAGACAAAGTGGATTTCAGAAGAAAAAATATTAGGACCAAAGAGGAGTACCATATCATGCTAAACGGAATAATTCCCCAAGAAGAAAGAATATTAAATGTCTATGTACCTTACTACAGAATGTCAAAACAATATATGGCAAAAACTGATAGAACAAAAAGGAAACATTAGTGTGAACTCATGTGAACTTAATATAGATACATATGTTACACATAGAAATATGTATATTTATGTGGATACATACAGGTTATTGTATACACATAGATCTCCTTGCTCTGTAACTGAGAAGGCCTAGGAGGAACAAGCACACCCAACATATACACACACACACACAGAATTATTTTAATTTATAATGAATTCTCAGGTGGTAAATAGGCCGATTTTTACATGGATATATAGCATGATGCTAAGGTTTGGAATAGGCATCCTATCACCCAGGTAGTGAGCATAGTACCCAATAGGTACTTTTTAAACCATTTCCCTCTCCCTACTTTCCTTCTCTAGTAGTCCTTATTGTCTACTGTCCCCATCTTTATTTTCATTTGTACTCAAATGTTTAGCTCCCACTTATAAGTGAGAACAAGTGATGTTTGGTTTTCTCTTCCTGTGTTAATTTGCGAGGAATAATGGTCTCTAGCTGCATCTATATTGCTGCAAAGGACATTATTTTCTTCTTTTTCATGGCTGCATAGCATTCCATGCTATATATATACCACAGTTTATTTATCCAGTCCACCATTGACAGGCAATTTGATTGATTCCCTGCCATTGCTATTGTGAATAGTATTGCAATGAACATAGACGTGCATGTGTCTTTTTGGTAAAACAATTTATTTTCCTTTGGGTATATACTGAGTAATGGGATTGCTGTGTTGAATGATAGCTCGGTTTTAATTATTTGAAAAACCCCAAAACTGCTTTGCATAGTGGTTGAAATAATTTACATTTCCAGCAGCAGTGCATAAGTGTTCTCTTTTTTTTCCCAAAGCCTCACCAGCATCTGTTATTAATTTATTTATTTTTACCTTTTACTATTAGCCATTTAACTGGTGTGAGATGTTATCTCATTGTGGTTTTGATTTGCATTTCTCTGATAATTAATTATTATGACCACTTTTTATATGTTTTTGGCCAATTGTATGTCTTTTTTGAAAAGTGTCTTTGCCCATTTTTTAAACGGGGTTATTTACTTTTTGCTTGTTAATTTAAGTTCCTTATAGATTCTAAATATCAGACCATTTTTGTATGCATAGATTGCAAATATTTTCTCCCATTCTGTAGATTGTCTGTTTACTTCTTCTTTGATAGTTTCTCTTGCTGTCAGAGGCTCTTTAATTTAATTAGGTCCTACTTATCAATTTTTGTAGTTGTTGCAATTGTTTTGGGGACTTGGCCAAAAATTCTTTGCCAAGGCCAGTATTGAAAATAATATTTCCTAGGTTTTCTTCTAGGATTGTTACAATTTGAAGTATTACATTTACATCTTTAATCCATACTGAGTTAAATTTAATGTATGGTAAAAGATATAGGTCTAGTTTCATTCTTCTGCATATAGATAGCTAGTTATCCCAGCATCATTACTGAATAAGAAGTCATTTCCTCATTGCTTGTTTTTGTTGGCTTTGTCAAAGATCAGATAGCTGTACATATTAGACATTATTTCTGGATTCTCTATTCTGGAATATTGGTTTAAGTATCTGTTTTTGTACCTGTACCATGCAGTTTTGCTTATTGTAGCCAAATAGTATATAGTTTGAAATCAGGCAGTGTTATGCCTCCAGCTTTGTTCTTTTTGTTTAGGATGGCTTTGGCTATTCAAGCTGTTGTTTTGTTTCCTATGAATTTTAGAATAGTTTTTTTCTCATTCTGTGAAAAATGATATTGGTAGTTTAATAGGAATAGCATTGAATCTGTAAAGTGCTTTGGGCAGTATGGCCATTTTAAGGATATTAATTCTTCCAATTCAAGAGCCTGAAATTTTTTTTCATTCATTTGTATTGTCTCTGATTTTTTAAGCAGTGTGTTTTAGTTCTTCTTGTAGAGATCTTTCACCTCCCTGGTTAGCTGTATTTCTAAAATATTTCATTTTTGTGGCTATTATAAATGGGATTGTGCTTTAATTTTGACTCAGTTTGAATGTTATTGCTATATATAAATACTACTGATTTTTGTACATTATTTTGTATTCTTAATACTTTGCTTGGATGTTTGCATTTCAGTTTTGTTCAATTCTTTTCTAATTGTACTTATTTATATTTCTTTTCTTCTATTAGCCTTGCAGTGGTTTGTTTTCTTTTTCTAGTTTCTCTGGGTGCAAT
Organism: Homo sapiens; assembly: GCF_000001405.40. Lineage (NCBI taxonomy): Eukaryota > Metazoa > Chordata > Mammalia > Primates > Hominidae > Homo > Homo sapiens. The sequence continues at coordinate 38,145,664 of NC_000011.10, forward strand.
TTCTTAATTGGAGATCTTTCTAATTTCTTGATGAAGGTGTTTAACACTATACACTTTTCTTTTAATACTGCTTTACCTACAACCCAAAGATTTTGGTAAGTTGTGTTTGTATTTTCATTCATTTAAAACAGTTTTTGATTTTTGTCCTAATTTCAATGTTCAATCAGGATTTATTCAGAAGCCAGTTCTTTCATTTCCATGTATTCATGTAATTTTGAGAGATTTTCTTGATAATGATTTATATTTTTAATTAGAGTTTGCTTGGTATGATTTCAGTTCTTTTAATGTATTGAGATTTGCTTTGTAACTGGGCATGTGGTCAATCTTAGAATATGTTCCATGTACACATGAGAATATATATTCTGTGATTGTTGGGTATTCTGTAGATGTCTATCAGGTCCACTTGGTTAAGTGTTGAGTTTATGTCTAGCATTTCTTTTTTAGTGTTCTGCCTCAATAATCTGTCTAACACTGTTAGTGGGTATTGAAACCTCTCCCTAATATTGTGGGACTGTTTGTTTTTGTAAGTCACGAGGGACTTGTTTAATGAATATGAGTGCTCCAGTGTTGGGTGTATATTTATTCAGGATAGTTAAATCTTCTTGTTGAGTTGGACTCTTTTTCATTATGTAGTGCCCTTCTTTTTCCTTCTTAATTGTTGGTGGTTTAAAGTCTGTTTTATCTGATATAATATTGAATCCTCCTCTTTTTTTCTTTTTTGTTTACATGGTAAATCTTTCCCCATCCATTTACTTTGATCCTGTGGGTCTCGTTAAATATGAGATGGGTCTCTTGAAAACAGAAGATGGTTGGGTCTTACTTGTTTTTTACTCACTTTGCCACTCTATTCCTTTTAGGTGGGGTGTTTAGACCATTTACATTTAGGATTAGTATTAATAAGTGAGAATTTGATTTTGTTATCATGTTGTTAGCTGGTGGTTTAGTAGACCTAATTGTGTATTTTCATAGTATCTTTGGGTTATGTGTTTATGCTTTTGTGATAGCAGGTGTTGTTCTTTTGTTTCTAGGTTTAGCACTCCCTTAAGGACCTCTTGTAAGGCTGGTCTAGTTGTAACAAATTTCCTCAGCATTTGCTTGTCCAAAAAGGATTTTATTTCTTCTTTTCTTATGAAGCCTAATTTAACAGGATATGCAATTCTTAGTTAGATTTTCTTTTCTTTATAGACACTGAAAATACCTTCCCAGCCTCTTCTGGCTTGGAAGCTTTCTCCTGGGAGGTCCACTGCAATCCTGATGGCATTCCCTTCTTAAGTGAGCTGACTTTTTCTCTAGCTGCTTTATGATTTGATTCTTTCACATTGACTTTAGTGAATCTGATAACTGCATAGTTATTCATCTCCTTGGGGAGATACAGTACATGTATGTATATATATGTGTGTGTGTGTGTATATATATATATATATATATATAGCGTGTGTGTATATATATATAGTATGTGTGTGTATATATATAGTGTGTGTATATATATATATATATATATATACATGCGGTGTGTATATATATATATTGTGTGTGTGTGTGTGTGTGTGTGTGTGTGTGTATATAGTATCTTGCCAGGGTTCCCTTTATTTCTTGAATTGCATGTTAACCTCTCTAGCAAGATTGGGGAATTTTTTTATGGACTATATACTCAAATATGTTTCCAAGTTGCTTACTCTCTCCTCTCTCAGAAATGCCAGAAAGTCATATGTTTGGTCTCTTTACTTAATCCCATATTTATCTGAGGTTTTGCTAATTTTATACAACTATTTTTTTCTTTATTTTTATCTGAGCTGATTTTTCTTTATTTTTGTCTGAGTTGATTTAAAGAACCGAATTCTTGAGCTTGAAGATTTTTTTCCTTAGCTTATCTATTCTGCTGTTAATACTTTCAATTGTATTATAAAATTATTGCAGTGAATTTTTCAGTTCCAGAAGTTTAGTTTGACTCTTTCTTAAAATGTGCATTTCATCTTTCAGCTCTTGGATCATTTTACTGAATTCCTTGGATATCTTGGACTGGGTTTCAACATTTTTTGGAATCAATGAGCTTTCTTGCCATCCAGATTCTGACTTCTATATCTGTCATTTCAGTTTGGTTAAGAACCATTGCTAGAGAGTTAGTGGGCTTGTTTGGAGGTAATGGGTTGCAATGGCTTTTTGCATTGCCAGAGATCTTTCACAAATTCTTTCTCATCAGAGAGGATTAGCGTTCCTTTAACTGTGTTGTAACTTGACTATCATAATTTGGCTTCATTTTTTGGTTGCTTTTTGAGGGCCAAGGCTCTGTACAGAATCTTTATTTGTGGCAGGACGGCAGGATTCTTCCCAATGGTTTCATCAGGTTTTTTTTGACAGAGTTTCACTCTTGTTGCCCAGGCTGCAGTGCAATGGCATGATCTTGGCTCACTGCAACCTCTGCCTCCCAGGTTCAAGCGATTCTCCTGCCTCAGCCTCCCAAGTAACTGGGATTACAGGCACCTGCCACCATGCCTGGGTAATTTTTTGTATTTTTTTTCATAGTCATGGGGTTTCATCATGTTGGCCAGGGTGGTCTCAAACTTCTGACCTCAGGTGATCCACCCACCTCGGCCTCCCAAAATGTTGAGATTACAGGCATGAGCCACGGCACCCAGCCTCATTGGTATTTAATTGGCAGAATGTTTTTGGTGTTGCAATTATCCACGGCAATCCAGTGGACAGTGCTTAAGAGTAATCGCTGACACATAGGTTTGTACTCGACCATGCTGTACTCAATCATTTTGTACTTCCACACATTCACAGCTGTAATCTGCGGGTGTGAGTTAAGAGATTGTCTTCCACTAGTTTGCTCCTGGGCCTTGGGAGAGCTTCTCTGATCACTGGCGCTATGACTGTATTTCTTTTTCATGTGTTCCTGGCTGCAGGGCCCCTTTGAGCACAGGACTTGGTTGGGAGATAGGTCACACTCTTCCCGGGCCAGCCCTGTGAAGGGAGGTATGCCACACTCCAACACCAGCCCACAAATTTATGCATCTCACCATTCTCAGTATTCTAAGAATGGAGGTTTCTCTTCAACTTGAGTGCCAGCTGAAGAACTCTGCTCAGTACTCCCAAGACACACATTGCAGCCCTGGGGTGCCAGGTCCAGCCGGCAGCTCTGTCCTCTGGAACCTCAGGACTAGTCACTGGCTGTGCTAGAGGATCTGAAGTACTTCCAGGCCACTGAGAAAATATTCAGCTGGAGGTGATGGCAAAGTACCCAGGCTGGACAACAGAGGCTGCACTATGTGCTTGCTCCTATGGGGCAGCTAGGCAAGAGCCCTGGGAAGGGTTGGAGGGAAGGAAGGCCTATAGAACAGACATATCCTAGTCCCAGGAGAAGCCAAACCTGCCCTCACTTGGCCCAGTGGCCAGCTGAGGCTAGAGATACTCAGAGAGAGATAGACAGCCTTGGAAGATGTGCACTTATGGCTACATTCCACCGCAGCTGCCCTCTGTGCAAAGACCCTGGGTTTCATGCATGCTGGAACCTTATCTATGTCTACTCTCTGGACAGATCCCTCTGCCACTCCAAAGATCTGAGGGAGTGTGGAATCTCTTGTTACTTGGATCCCAAAGGTCTGCAGTGAGAGTAGGCTGTCCCTTTGTCCCCTCATTCACTCTTTCCCTAGGAACCATTCCAGGCCTAGAACTAGCTCTAGTATTTGGCAATCCCATGCAGGTTTCCCAGCTTCTTCCCACTTCAGCTTCATTGTCTATGTCACCTATCAATTCTTGGTATTTTCTCACCAGCGAGCTGCTCAAAGTATGTTGGTCTCTCTTGGTGAGGGTGGCACTTCCTGGCTGTGTCTAGTCAGTCTTTTTGTCCCCTTCAGAACTTGGTTTTTAATACTGTCCTCTAAAAAAATCATGAAGGATTCTTACAGAAATGACAGATTCTAGGGCTAGAGCAGAAAATCTACAGGTAAGCTTGGCGCTTGTTGTAGTGTGAGAAAATAAGGTCTTAAAAAAATAAAAAAGCAATACCTTCACATCGATTAGGGTACATTAAATGCACACCAGAGCCAACAGAAAGGGCTCCTGATGGCCACTGTCAGCAAGACAATACATTAAATTCTGTGGTATTTTAACCCAAAATATAAAATAAATGTCAATGAGTTTTGTACTAACATCATTAATTAAATGAATAAATATATAGGGAAGAACACACAAATCTCCTGTTCAGAATTCCAAATAATTTATGCACATATCCTTACTCCAAGGATATGGGATATACCTGTTCACTCCTTAAGTGCGGGCTATGCCTTGTGCCTTCCTTTCTAAGAGTACAGTATGGAAATGAGGGAAAAGGAGAAATATCTTTTCAGTAGAGAATCCTCTCCAGGCAAGGGATTTCAATTAATAGCAACAGAGATAAGTCATATTAACAGTACGTATCATTGAATTAATGTCAGGAGAATAGCACTTTATCTCTGTGGTCTAACTTCCAGGAACACATTAGCCCAATCAAATCATGAGGAAAATATCAGTCAACTCCCAATTGATGGACATTTTACAAAATACCTAATTTCTCAAAACTGTTCAAACAAGGAAATTGTAGAAAACTATCTCAATAAAGAGGAACCTAAGGAGATATGACTACTAAATGTAATGTGGCATTCTTTATGGAATGCTGAATTAGAATATATATGCACATATGTGCACATATATAATAATTCCAATTTTAATGTGTATTATATATACATACATACATATATGTACATATGTATATATACACGTACATACATACATATATGTACATATGTATATATACACGTACATACATACATAAATGAGGAAAACTGAAAATCTAAATAAAGTGTAGAGTTTAGTTAATAATGCCCCAATATTGGCTCACTAGTTGTGACAAACATGCCATATTAATATGTCATTAATAATAGTGAATACTGGATGTACCAGAATGGTTAAAATTAGAAAGAATTACAAAGCCAACAGTTGGTGAGGCTACACATCAAAAACCAACCAAACAAAAAATAAAAATAAAACTCTCATTCATTGCTGCATGTACAGTAAAGGGTTACATTCACTTATATTAAGGGCGAAAACAAAGCAATTTTTACAGGACTAGGAGGCAGTACTGTGTTTTCTTTAGCAAGAAGAGAGGATTGAGTTATTAGAAGGTCATATGGTATGGATCTGTGTCTGCACCCAAGTTTCATGCCAAATTGTAATCCCCAATGTGGGAGGAGAAGCCTCGTGGGAGGTGATCGGATAATGAGGTCAGAGTTCTCATAAATGGTTTAGCGTCATCCCTACTGGGTAATGTTACTGGGTAATGTATAGTGAGTGAGTTCTCATGAGGCATGGTTGTTTAAAAACGTGTAGCATCTCTCCCCTCCCCTCCTCCTGCTCCTACCACGTAAGACGTTGCCTTCTGCTTTGCCTTCCGCCCTGAGTAAAAGCTCCCTGAGGTCTCCACAGAAGCAGATGCTGACATGTTTTTGTATATCCTGCAGAACTATGAATCAATTAAACCTTTTCTTTATAAATTACCCAGTCTCAGGTATTTCTTTATAGCAATGCGAGAATGAACAAATAGGAGGACATACAAGGCCTACTTCTAGAGTGCTAGTAATTATGTTCTATTTCTTGACTTGGGTGGTAGTTGTATGGCTGTATTCATTTTTTAGTGATGTATGGAGATGTATAATTGTTATATTTTCTTGAATGCACAATGTACCACCACAGAAAAGTATACTAAGATATTTTCTTATCATCACTATATCCTTATTTACAAATATGTAGAATGACATTTTTTAACTTTGTATTTGGAAATAATTTTAGATTTGACAGAATCTTATAGATGATTACAAAATTATATAGACAATCCTTATATATAATTCTCTGAGCATTTGTAATGTGTGTGTGTTCAAGTGTGTGTATATATAACCATAATGCAGTTATTAAAACACACATTAATAAAATCAGTATTTTCACAATAGTATCAATTAAATTATAGCTTCTATTCACATTATACTAGGCTTTTCTACTTAGGCACTTTATGTTTTCAGAATTTATTTCCGGTTCCTACCTTGCATTTAATTGTCATTTCCTTTGTTTTCTATAATCTATGATGGATTCTCAATTTGTTCACTACTGTCACAGTTTTAAATATTGCTCGTCAAGTATTTTGTAGAATGTGGGTTTTTCTGATTTCTTCACGGTTATGTTGAATATCATAGAAGTAATACGCCCTTCTTAGTGCATCATATCCTGGAGTACCTAATCTCTACATATCTTACTATTGCTGAGGCACATGGTAATCAATTAATTAAAGTGGTGATTGTTGGCTTTCTTTATGGCACGGTTGTCATTTTTATTTGTCTAATTAATATGTATCTTGAAGGAGATACTATGAGAGTATGCAAGTACTATGTTTCTCTGGGAACTTTCACCCACTGATTTGAGCTTCTATTAATCAATCAATCTTGCCTGCAACAATTATTACCATAGTGTTTGTCTAATGGTGTTTTGAATTTCCCTTATTATGATAGGGCAAAGAATATATATTGGGGGAGGGACATGTTTTTCAATAAATTATCCTGGAAAAAATGAATATCAATTGGCTGAGGAATGAAATTGGATCCCTCTCACCATATACAAAAATCACCTCAGGATGAACTAAAGACTTAAATATCAGATCTCAAACTATAAAACTAGTAGAAGAAAACATACAAAAACACTTTAGAACATTGGTCTACACAAAGATTTTATGACTAAGACCTCAAAAGCACAGAAAATAAAAACAAAAAAGGACAAATAAGACTTAGTCAAATTTAAAATCGTCTGCATAACAAAGGAAGCAATCAACAGATTGGATAGACAACCTTAAATGGAGAAAATATTTTCAAACTATTACTCCAATAAAGGAGTAATATTCAAAATATACAAGGAGCTCAATAACTCAACAGTAAAAAACAAAGAAAAACTCATTAAAAAGTGGGCAAAGCACATGAGTACACATTTCTCAAATGAAGACATACAAATGGCCAATACATAGGTAAGAAAAAATCCTCAACATCACTAGTCACCAGGGAAATGTAAATCAACATCACTAGTCACCAAGGAAATGTAAATCAAAACCACAGTGACATCTCATCTTCCCTTAGTTAGAATGGATACTATTAAAAAGACAAAAACAAAAACAGATGTTAGCAAGGATACAGAGAAGAGAGAATGTAAATTAATGCAGACACTATGGAAAACAATAGCAAAGATGTGGAAGAAACCTGAGTGCCCATCAACAGGTGAATGAATAAAGAAAATAAGTACACACACACACACACACACACACACACACACACACACAATAGGATACTATTCAGCTATTAAAAAAATAATGTCATTTGCAGCAACATGAATGAAATTAAAGTTATTATGTTAAGACACAGAAAGATAAATTTCCCATATTCTCACGACTCATTATATGGGAGCTTAAAAAGTTGATATCATGGAGGTAGAGAGTAGAATGATAAATACCAGAGTCTGAGTAATTTACATGGGTGGGAGGAAGGGAAGGATGAAGAGAAGCTGGTTAATTAGTACAAACATGCAGTTAGATAGGAAGTATGAGTTCTACTGTTTCATAGCAGCATGCAGTGGCAATACTTAATAATCATGTATTGCGTATTTCAGAATAGCTGGAAGACCTGAAATGTTCCCAACACATAGAAACAATTAATATTCAAGGTGATGGACACTCCAAATACCCTGACTTGATCATTACATATTCTATGCATGCAACAAAATATTATACATACTCCACAGATATGTAAAACACTATATATCAATAAAAATAAATGAATAAAAATAAAAAAATGGGTTGGTTTTTTCTTGAAAATATACAATTCATATAGTCCTGACTTTACTAACCTATGAATTCAGAATATAGTGTTTATTTTCAGACCTTCTGTCCTTTTTTATGCTATGGACTCTACTGGACTAATCATTGGAAACAAATTACCTCAAAGGGATTCATTAATATTTCACAGGATTCCAAGGCATGTTACTAAATGTGTGCCAAAGGACAAGCCATATATTCTTTTTTCTAGTGTCTATATCTTTATATCTTGCTACCCAGCTGTCTCAATTGATTATGAGCCTCATGAAGTTTTCTTTCATTTGAACACATCTGTTTTTAGATTTTGATGTCCACTGATAAATTCATTCCAGAATTGGACTACGCCTTCAAAAATATGGGAAAGGAATTTCAACTTCTATTAGATACTGAAATCAAAGAAAGTGAACAGACTGTCATGATTGTATCTTAAGTAGTTTTGTGGCCAAAGAGCCACAAAACGCCTAAATGCCTGTAAGATGCAAAGCAATTTATTTTGATTTTGAAACACCTTGGGATATAAAGAGATGAGCTAATCTTTGTGGTAAGAAAATGCAGTAAAATGCTTGGTTTACTGTATGTTAGTGTTACTTGGTGGCAGGCTTTCCCCTTGAATATCTGTGGGGCTTTGTGGTGGGTCTTTAAAGGAGTGAGAAAAGAAAGTGAAAGGGTGAATAAAGGACTGACTCAAGGTTATTTCTGTTCTGAACCCTCTCAATTCTTATCAGCATGCAATATTTTCTAACAAGAGTTTCAATCTGTTGATAAATGTAAGACAATGAATAGAGGGCAGTGCAAACCTACTCTCATATAAATTTTAATGTATCTCTTAAAACTATAAGTAGATTCCTTGTTTTCAAATCCAATACAGGAACTTGTAGACTCAGTCGTTTTTAATAATAAGTTTATTTAAGTGGAATGTAAAGTATTTGTAAGAAATAAAAACTCCTATCATGCCTTAATCTTATATATATTTAGTCAGAGTAACAAATGATGTAAAAATGTATGTGACTAAATTCTTCTTTAACAAAAGGAGAAACCTCAGGTGCTGAGGCCACTACTAGTTAGAATTTGCCCTGCTGGAAACCTCAGTCAGACAGGGACTTAGGATATTACTAGTCCATGAGTTGCAAAGCAAAAAATAAAGATATAAAGAGGGCAATCATCCAAATTACATGTCAGTAAAAATAGCCTGAACAAGAATGCTCCTTGAGAGTAGAGAATAAAATAAAATAAAATAAATAAAATAAAATAAAATAAATGAAATAGTTAAAAACGTTTGCCTCTGAGGAACAAAACTGCATGAAGTGAATACAGAGACTGGTGTTTGTTAAGACTTTTTAGTGTATTTTGATATTTTTAACCTTGACTTTAAATATTTTGCTATTTTCACAATTAACTTGTTGAAAAATATCAATATGTGTTTGTTCACATGGACACAAATACTACTAATCAATAAAGACTTAAGTGTGTTATTTTATGTGAATTATCAGAAGAGAGTTCACTCTTGGAATAAATAAATGAAATAGAATACAATAGTATGAGCTCTGAACTCAAAGGACTCAGGTTCAAGTTCAAATCCTGTCATTGACCACTCTAGATAAATATTTTTCTTCTAAAAATGGTGATAATAAAAGGCTGCTAACCTGTCACTGGAAAACATTATCGTTGTGTGGATCAAATGTGATATTGCAGATTTTCCTTTGGGAATTGTAAAATCTACTATGAATTATTATTCTTACCAAAACCATAAAAATTTAAGATATGCAAATGTTATATTATGATGGCAACCATTGTTGGGTGTCATTACCTGGACTATATCTTGCTAAGCTCATACATGTTGTGTACATAATTGATTTCCAGATTGTCCTTTCTTTGAATAAGACTATTATTTCTATGCTACTTAATACTTAAGGCTCTTTTTGTCTCAGAATAATACCATACTATCTTGCAATATATTGTTTGCCATCGGTTTTCTTCAGATATTTATGACTATATATATGTTAATACATTTTGGTCAGTCTCTTTTAATTTGCAAATGACTCCTGTTATCTTTGGTCTCTGGAAAACTTTTCTAACATGGTGACCCAAAACATAGAGTCTTTTTTTCATTACATGTTTAAAAGTCCCGTAAAGTACTTATAATGATGGGCTACAATTTACCTTCCAAAAAATTCTCCTCTCTGTCTTTGAAGTGGTCCACTGCCTTCATAGAAAATGTGATTTGCTAATCCATGATTTGGTGTGCACATCCAGGTTTGCAGACTTAGCTCATATCCCTCACCTATCAAAACTTACATGAAAGTAGCATATTGATAAGTGTGAAATCTCAATCTTACACATTACTAACTATAGCACACATAAAATTTTCACAGAGTGGAATAGCACACCCTGGATACTATGAAGAAAAATTAGCAGGAAATAAATTTCCATAAATATATGGTTCATTTACTGACTTTGTCATGATTTATAGGCATTTGACAAAAATAAGAGGAAGCTGCTCAATAACTCAGTAAGTTAAAAATCAACACACCGCAAGGCAGTATACTTTAAATGTTCTTAGGAACTCTAGTCCTGAATAGTTAAGTCAATGGGTCAAAACTATAATGAACATTCTTATGATTCTTCCTTTTTTCTAATTCCCATAGTTTTCTGGAAAAGGACAAGAAGGCAGTCCTTTGAAATGAGTCTTTGAAATGAGAAAGGAAAAGATAATTTATTGTAGAAAAGTATGACTGACCTGTCTTGAGAATTAAAAAACAAAGTAAAATAACCTTAAAGAACTAGTCTTTCATATTTACATTGATAGCTATCTAGATCAATGCTACCAAATTCTGCTAACCTATATTTCCTTTGGATTTGAGAATATGTTTTAATCATCATCATATAAAATTTAAAACTTTGGTTAGACAGACCCTCCGGTACTAGAGTAAGTTATTATTTATAAGATAATAGCACAAGTATGTGGAGTTAATTAAAACCTATTAGTTGGGCTTTATATCTGCTCATAGCTAGTTGTATATTTTGCACAAATCAATTTACTTGCCATTTTCTTCCTGTCTAAAATGAGGAAGTTGGTCAGGCCCAGTCGGGCTTTATATCTGCTCATAACTAGTTGTATATCTTTGCACAAGTCAATTTACTTGCCATTTTCAACCTGTCTAAAATGAGGAAGTTGGCCAGGCCCAGTGGCTCATGCTTATAATCCAGGCACTTTGAAAGGGCAAGGAAGGTGTATTGTTGAGCCCAGGAGTTTGAGACCAGTCTGGGCAACGTAGTGAGACCTCATCTCTACCAAAAACACAAAAATTAGCCAAACGTGGTGGCATGTGCCTATAGTCTCAGCTACTTGGAGGTAAGATCGCTTGGGCCTGGGAGGCAGAAGTTGCAGTGAGCTGATATCGTGCTACTGCACTCCAGCCTTGGCAACAGAGCAAGACCCTGTCTCAAAATAAAATAAAATGAGGAAGTTGAATGAGATGGTGTTTAAGATAACTCTCAGCATCAATAGCTGCTGTGGCTTGGGCAAAAAATATGTTTACTTTATTATGATTATGGTATAAGCAATAAATATCTTAACCTTACCCTATCAATCTTTGAAACTAAGTAGTATCTCCTTAGCAACTGAGAACGATAAAGGAAGTCACATGAAAGGCATATTGATTGACAAAATAGATGTCTCAAAAATTCTACTACAAACTACATGCTGTGGGCATATATATATGAACAATTAAATTCAGAATTTATGTAACACGATACAGACAATAATTTTAAGATTGATAATCTGCTTTGTATGTGAAAACCAGATTAAAAGAAACAATTGATCATGTAGAGAAAAAAACTAAAATAGGCAGGTGCATTCATTAAGCAGACAGAAGTAATAGCATGTAATGAAAGAAAAGGCAAGAAAAAAACAAAAAGTAGACACAAGGAAACAGAACACAGTGAACACAGAGATAATCAGCATATTAAGAGAAAAAGGGCTTCACAAAAGACTGGAAAATAAAATAAGTGTATTAATTAAGTTCAAAATTAAGAAAACAGGAAAATGATTAATACCTGTTAGCAATTTTATACAAAATGGTTGAACTTTTAAAATTTATGCTAACTGATTTGAAATCACAGAATTAAGTACTTTCTAAATGTATAAAATGGATGCAGAATTTTCCACTATAATTATGAAGATACTTTGGCTGAAAAAGATTATATATATTTCCAAAGTTCACAGAAGCGGTAAGCAGAAGTAGGGTTTGTACTTGTTTCTCTCTCATTTTAAAATATGGGTATTCAGAAAAGTCACCAATCATGATTCAAAAAGCAGAGAACATGCAGATTATTGAAAAAAATTTGCAGAAAAAAAAAACTCCCCTAAATTTTGACAGCTGAAATTATGTAAACATTTAAATATTTACAACAGTGTAATACTATAGAATGGAAAACTCATTAATATGTCTCTGCAAGTTTAAATATGAAATTGTGCCTATGGTTTATGAATCTTACATGATCCCAGCCATTTTCTTATTATGGACTGAATTGTGCTGCTCTTTCCTCCTCAATTCCTATGCTGAAGTCCTAACCCCCAATGTAACTGTATTTGGAATAGGGTCTTTAAGGTGGTAATTAAGGTTAAATGAGATCATAAATGTGGGGCCCTAATCATGTATTTCTGGTGTTCTTATAAGAAGAGGAAAAGATCACAGATATCTCTCTCTCTCTCTCTCTCTCTGTCTCTCGCTCCCTCTCTTTCTCTCTCTCTTGCTCCACACACACAGACAAAAAGCCATGTGAAGACATAGCTAGAATGAGTCTTTCTGCAAGCCAGGAGGAGTGCCCTTACCAGAGACCAAACCTACTCGACCTTCATCTTGAACTTCAGTCATTTACAATTGCAAAAATAGAAATTTCTGTTGTTTAAGCCACCCACTCTGTGGTATTTTGTTGTGGAAGCCCAAGCAGATGAATATATTCCCAATTTCAAGTTGTGTGATACTTCCCTTTGACCCTGGTGCACTAGCTACAGTGGGTTCCTTTCAATTCTTCAAAAACATTAAATTTTTCCCACTTCACTTGTGCATCCTTATTCCTCTACCTACCTGTAAAGCTATGACTCCCCCAGTCTTTAATTTATCCCTATCTTCCTTCACGTTTTATTTTAATGGCACTGTTTCAGAGACATTGTCCCTAACCCACAAATTAACTATAATTTTACATGTCCTCTTTCATAACACAAGTCTTTCCAAACCAGCATGTATCACAACTTGTAATTATGAACTTACACCTATACACTTCATTGTGTGTTTCTCTCCCCTCTTACATATTATAAGCTACACTAGAGCCAATTTGTTCCGCTCTGTCTTCCTGTATTCTCACATTATTTATTACAATGTTAGTGCTTAACAATATGTGTTGAATAAAACAATAAATGACAACAGATGTGAATAAATGATTGAATAAAATAGTCAGAAAATTAAGAACTGTAAATGTTTATTAGAGAAAAAAAAAAAGAAATCTAACACTAAAAAGCTCTTCGTAACAGAGAATCTTCCAGGTATATTCTGAGAGAAAAGAGTAACAGTTAAAATGCTTATTGAGGTTAGGGTCTGCCCAAAAGCTGAGAGAGAATGATGTCTGTCGGAAAATTCCCTCTCACATTTGTTGGGAGCTTTCACAGCTGAGCAGACAGAAGCACAGGCTGGACTCTGGCCTTACAAATCAACACCACTCAGCTTACAAGGAGTTGGTTAGCATCTGACCAAGAAATTACAATTTTGAGTCAGAGTACAAGAACCTTATATTTGGTAAAGAATGGAGAGATGGCATATATTCAGTAATTGAAGATTTTTAAAGAATTTGAACATAGCAAGGAGTATGTCTTGGATATGGTTTAACATGGTTTCAATCTGTGTTCCCACACAAATTTCAAGTTGAATTATTATCCCCAGTGTTGGAGGTGGGGCCTGGTGGGAGGTGCCTGAATCATGAGTGGATTTCTTATGAATGGCTTAGCACCATTCCTCTTGGTACTGTCCTTGAGTGAGTTTTCATAAGATCTGGTCATTTAAAAGTGAGTAGCACCTTCTCACCTGCCCTCTTGCTCCTGCTCTTGCCATGTAAGACACCTGCTCCCCCTTTGACTTCCACCATGATTGGAAACTTCCTAAGGCTACCCCAGAAGCAGAAGCTGCTATGCTTCCTATACAACCTGCAGAACCATGTGCCAATTAAACCTCTTTTCTCTATAAATTACACAGTTTCAGGTATTTACAGAAATGCAAAAATGGACTAATACATGGTTCTTACTCATCATCAGCCCCAATCAGGCTGCAGAGAGAGCTAGTCCTGCCCAATAGACTTTCCAAAAAAGAGAGTAAAGGAAGGGAGTAAACCAGAAATAAATGGGACATGAGACATTTATTAAAATAAAAGTGCTGTAAAGAAAACCTGTGAGTATATTCAGACCAGTCACAGAGCAAAGTGCATAGTTAGTAGAGATCTTACAATAAATGACTTATTGAATTAAACTATCATTTTGTTCCACTTATCTCCCTATGTAATCTCAGTAATGCTTTTAAGAGTCCTGTTATATAACTATCTTTTAGCTCTTTTCTTCAGAAAAATTATCAGGATAGAAAATTTTAATAATTTTCACAAAAATTACTCCTTGCTGGATTTTGATAAAATATTAATATATGTTTTAATCCAAAATTCATTTTTTCCTTAATAATCACTGATTATTAAAATGAAGCTATGCTCACACCAATAGAACAGTGACTCCTATGACACAGATATGTGGCTAACTTTCATGTATGTGCATTTCAATATGTTTTCATGTAATAACGTAAAAGCATGATTTGACATAATAAGATTTTAATATAGTATGAATTATGGACAATGGATTAGAGGACCATATGTGATGCCCTTTTACATATGATTGAGTTTATAACCCTCACACATAACTCTGTAGATTAAGTATTATTATCATCCTCATTCCACAAGTGAGGTAACTGAAGAACAGAGACATTAAGCAATTTGCATGAGGTCACACAGCTAGTAATTGGCAGAGACAGTATTCAAATACAGGTACAGCAGTTTCAGAGTCTCTGCTCTTAAGTACTAGGTGATACTGACTCATATGTAAGCAGCATGATATCAACCATGCATAATGTTAAGTAATATGTTTCCTCATACTTATTATTATGTAGGTTCCCTTTAGGTGTTAACCCTAAACCTTTATTGAGTGAACCATGTGGTACTGGATTAAAATGGAGGCATCATTATAACTTGCATTTAGCTTAATAGATCCTGATGAAAATACATAGAAAATATACAGGTATAATTATTTGTGCAAATACATATTTCCTAGCTCTGCCTGCTGAGATATCATTCATTTAACATTGGGTACATCTAGCACACAGATCTTGGTTTCAGATAGGATTCTTCAATAAAGGAGCCAGGGCTCTTTAGAGAAATAGCTGATTCTAGGGTTGGGGAGAATAATATGCAAGATGAGACCAGAGTATCTTATAGTTTCAGAAAATAAAGAAGTGCTCAATATGATGGGGATATAACAAAGAGACACAGAAGCCAACTAAATGAACTCCAAATGGTCAACTATAGAATGTCTTGAGCAATAAAATAATGTAGCATTAAATGATAATTTATGGTATAAAATAAATATGCATCAGTCCATATTGATATAAATGAATGATTGAATTAATAAATTAATTGAGGGTAGGATGAGACAAATCTTCCATGCATGCAGAAAAATTCCAAATAACTAATATAGATTCTGTTCTCAGGGATGCGGGGCATAACTTTCAACCCTTTAAGTGTGAGCTATACATAATAACTTCCTTCCAAAATGTATGGTATGGAAAGGGAAAAAATAAGCAACTTTACAATAGAGAAAACTGACAAAAACTGCCTTTTACTAGGTGATTAAAGTTAACATCATTAGTGATAAGTCAAGCTGATAAAGGGAACTTTTGCTTTGTTGGTCTGAAAATGGCACTTAACCTCCATGGTCATCTTTCTAGAAACACATAACCACAGTGTAATTATGAGAAAAGCAATAGACAAATCTCAAATAATAAACATTCTACAAAATACCTAACAAGTTTTTTTTCCACAATTGTCAAGTTTATCACAATCAAGAAAATATCTGATAAATTATCAAAGTCAAAAATAACCTAAGGAGACATGATGACTAAAAAGTAATGTGGTATCCTGGAGCAAAAACAACAACAAAAAAGTTAGGAAAAAACTAAGAAAAACTGAATAAAGTATATGGTTTAGTTTATTATAACCTGCCAATATTACTTTACTAGTTGTGACAGAGGCACTATAGTGATGTAACATGATAACAAGAGTGGATACTAGGCATGGGGTAAATGTGAAACCACTGTACTATATTTTCAGATTGTCTAAAATTAAAAGTTTATTGAAAAATTATTCAGTAGCTTAGAGGGGCCACCCAAATGACACTGCTGAGAAAACAAACATCTTACAGCAAATTAACGTGTTTTCATCACAAATGGAAATATTCAGTTGAATATGTACAGCAAATAAAAATTAGTGCACATATGGGCAAAAATAAAAACACACAAAAAAAAACAAAAGCAAAAACTCAGTTTTCATGTATCTCTTGCTCTTACTCCTCAAACAGTTGCTTTTGTAGAAAACCCGATAAATGATTTTGGGGTTGCAAAACTTTACATTCTAATATAATTCCGGTTTAAAAACCAGATTTGGAACATACATGAATTGCCAGACTATGCCAGCCTCAGGTTCAGTTATAATCTCAGTGGGTGAAGAAGTGTTAGTGAGGGAATTAAAAACAGTTTAGAGGCTGATGGTTTACCAGTGTCTACTCTCTATGAATCCCTAGGGATGGTGGTGAGAAGAAACCAATAATAGGTTTGGGGATCTGAGGGCAGAGGAGATGTGGGTCAGCACCGAATTACATAATACATTGTGAAAAAGCCACATGATCCCAGAGTAGACAGGGCTATCTAGTGAACATTTTAGGGGGTATTTTTGGGAGTGTTGCAACAGATAATATTCATCAGTGGGAGACCCATCTTTGTCACCCAATCAGTGGAACTTAAGTGGCATTTAAGTAATTGGTGACAGGTAGGGAGCAGGAGCATTCAGGAGAAGTCTAAACGAACCAATTAGTAAAGGCAAGATATAACAAGAATGTCTCAGCCAATGACAATTTTTCTCTTCCTAAAACCCATCACACCTTCACCCTCACCCTTCTACTCCTGTTCTACCCAGTATCAATGAGTAAGCCATTGTAACCTGTTTGTGATTCAGGAAATGAATAGAGAAGGTCAATTGACCAAGACTGAATTTTACATAACTCTTAGAATTGGGACTCATAACAAATAATAAAAATTACAAAAAATTAACACAAGATGGATTAAAGACTTAAATGTAAGAACTGAAACTATAGAAATCCTAGAAGAAAACCTAGGAAAAACTCTTCCGGACATTGGCCTAGGCAAATCATTTACGACTAAGACCTCAACGGCAAATGCAACAAAACCAAAAATAGACAAATGTGACTTAATTAAACTAAAATGCTTCTGCATAACAAAAGAAATAATCAACAAATAGACAACCTAAAGAATGGGATAAAATATTTGCAAACTACACACCCAACAAAGGACTAATATCCAATATCTACAAGAAACTCAAACAACTCAGTAAGAAAAAAACACACAACTCCATCAAAAAGTGGGCAAAAGATATGAACATATACTTTTCAAAAGAAGACATACAAGTGGCCAAGAAACATAGGAAAAAAATGCTCAACATCACTAATCATCAGAGAAACACAGATTAAAACCACAATAAGATACAATATCACACCAGTTAGAGTGGGTATTACACAAAAAAAATTAGAAAACAGGAGATGTTGGCAAGCATGTGAAGAAAATGAAGGCTTATACGCAGTGGGAATGTAAATTAGCACAACCCCTATCAAAAGCAATATGGAGATTTCTCAAAGAGCTAAAAATAGAACTACCATTTGATCCAGCAATCCCACTACTTGGTATCTACCAAAAGGAAAAGAAATCATTAAGAAAAAAAGACACCTGAGCTCATATGTTTATTGCAGCACTTTGCACAATAGCAATGTTATGAAATCAACCTAAGTGTCCATCAACAGATGACTGGATAAAGAAAATGTGATATATACATACCCAGAATACTACTCAGCCATAAAAAGAATGAAATTATGTCATTTTCAGCAACATGGATGCAACTGAAGGCCATTATCCTAAGTGAAATAAATCACAAACAGAAAGTCAAATACTACATGCTCTCACTTGCAAAGGTGAGCTCAGCAATGGATACACATGAACATACATAATGGAATAATAGACATTAGAGATGTAAAGGTGGGAGGCTAGGAAGGGGGTAAGGGATGAAAATTACTCATTAGGTACAATGTTTACTTTTTTTATTATTATACTTTAAGTTCTAGGGTACATGTGCACAACGTGCAAGTTTGTTACATATTTATACACGTGCCATGTTGGTTTGCTGCTCTCATTAATTCGTCATTTACATTAGGTATTTCTCCCAATGCTATCCCTCCCCCATCCCCCTACCCCACAACAGGCCCTGGTGTGTAATGTTCCCTGCCCTGTGTCCAAGTTTTCTCATTGTTCAATTCCCACTTATGAGTGAGAACATGCAGTGTTTGGTTTTCTGTCCTTGCAATAGTTTGCTCAGAATGATGCTTTCCAGCTTCATCCATGTCCCTACAAAGGACATGAACTCATCCTTTTTTATGGCTGCATAGTGTTCCATGGTGTATATGTGTCACATTTTCTTAATCCAGTCTATCATTGGTGGACATTTGGGTTGGTTCCAAGTCTTTGCCATTGTGAATAATGCTGCAATAAACAGATGTGTGCATGTGTCTTTATAGTAGCGTGATTTGTACTCCCTTGGGTATATACCCAGTAATGGGATGGCTGGGTCAAATGGTATTTCTAGTTCTAGATCCTTGAGGAATTACCATACTGTCTTCCACAATTGTTGAACTAGTTTACAGTCCCACCAACAGTGTAAAAGCGTTCCTATTTCTCCACATCCTCTGCAGCACCTGTTGTTTCCTGACTTTTTAATGATTGCCATTCTAACTGGTGTGAGATGGTATCTCATTGTGGTTTTGATTTGCATTTCTCTGATGACCAGTGATGATGAGCATTTTTTTCATGTGTCTGTTGACTGCATAAACGTCTTCTTTTGAAAAGTGTCTGTTAATATCCTTTGCTCACTTTCTGATGGGGTTGTTTGATTTTTTCTTGTAAATTTGTTTAAGTTCTTTGTAGATTCTGAATATTAGTCCTTTGTCAGATGGGTAGATTGCAAAAATTTTCTCCTATTCTATAGGTTGCCTGTTCACTCTGATGGCAGTCTCTTTTGCTGTGCGCAAGCTCTTTAGTTTAATTGGATCTCATTTGTCTATTTTGGCTTTTGTTGCCATTGCTTTTGGTGTTTTAGTCATGAAGTCCTTGCACATGCCTATGTCCTGAATGGTATTGCCTAGGTTTTATTGTAGGGTTTTTATGATTTTACGTCTAACAATTAAGTCTTTAATCCATCTTGAATTAATTTTTGTGTAAGGTGTAAGGAAGGGATCCAGTTTCAGCTTTCTACATATGGCTAGCCACCACCATTTATTAAATAGGGAATCCTTTCTCCATTTCTTATTTTTATCAGGTTTGTCAAAGATCAGATGGTTGTAAATAAGTAGTGTTATTTCTGAGGGCTCTGTTCTGTTCCATTGGTCTATATCTCTGTTTTGGTACCAGTACCATGCTGTTTTGGTTACTGTAGCCTTGTAGTATAGTTTGAAGTCAGGTAGCGTGATGCCTCCAGCTTTGTTCTTTTGGCTTAGGATTGTCGTGGCAATGTGGGCTCTTTTTTGGTTCCATATGAACTTTAAAGTAGTTTTTTCCAGTTCTGTGAAGAAAGTCATTGGTAGCTTGATGGGGATGGCATTGGATCTATAAATTACCTTGGGCAGTATGGCCATTTTCATGATATTGATTCTTCCTATCCATGAGCATGGAATTTTCTTCCATTTGTTTATGTCCTCTTTTATTTCATTGAGCTGTGGTTTGTAGTTCTCCCTGAAGAGGTCCTTCACATCCCTTGTAACTTGGATTCCTAGGTATTTTATTCCCTTTGTAGCAATTATGAATGGGAGTTCGCTCATGATCTGGCTCTCTGTTTGTCTGTTATTGGTGTATAGGAATGCTTGTGATTTTTGTACATTGATTTTGTATCCTGAGACTTTGCTGAAGTTCCTTATCAGCTTAAGGATTTTTTGGGCTGAGACGATGGGGTTTTCTAAATATACAATCATGTCATCTGCAAACAAGGACAATTTGACTTCCTCTTTTCCTAATTGAATACCCTTTATTTCTTTCTCCTGCCTGATTGCCCTGGACAGAACTTCCAACACTATGCTGAATAGGAGTGGTGAGAGAGGGTATCCCTGTCTTGCGCCAGTTTTCAAAGGGAATGCTTCCAGTTTTTGCCATTCAGTATGATATTGTCTGTGGGTTTGTCATAAATAGCTCTTATTATTTTGAAATATGGTCCATCAATACCTAGTTTATTGAGAGTTTTTAGCATGAAGGGCTGTTCAATTTTGTTGAAGGCCTTTTCTGCATCTATTGAGATAATCATGTGGTTTTTGTCTTTGGTTCTGTTTATGTGATGTATTACCTTTATTGATTTGTGTATATTGAACCAGGCTTGCATCCCAGGGATGAAGCCAAGTTGATCATGATGGATAAGCTTTTTGATGTGCTGCTGGATTCGGTTTGCCAGTATTTTATTGAGGATTTTCGCATTGATGTTCATCAGGGAAATTGGTCTAAAATTCTCTTTTTTGGTTGTGTCTCTGCCAGGCTTTGGTATCAGGATGATGCTGGCCTCATAAAATGAGTTAGGGAGGATTCCCTCTTTTTCTATTGATTGGAATAGTTTCAGAAGGAATGGTACCAGCTCCTTTTTGTACCTCTGGTAGAATTCAGCTGTGAATCCATCTGGTCCTAGACATTTTTTGGTTTGTAGGCTCTTAATTATTGCCTCAAATTCAGAACCTCTTATTGGTCTATTCAGGGATTCAACTTCTTCCTGGTTTAGTCTTGGGAGGGTGTATGTGTCCAGGAATTTATCAATTTCTTATAGATGTTCTAGTTTATTTGCATAGAGGTGTTTATAGTATTCTCTGATGGTAGTTTGTATTTCTGTGGGATCGGTGGTGATATCCCTTTATCATTTTTTATTGCGTCTACTTGATTCTTCTCTCTTTCCTTCTTTATTAGTCTTGCTAGTGGTCTATTTTGTTGATCTTTTCAAAAAACCAGCTCCTGGATTCATTGATTTTTTTAAACTTTTTTTGTGTTTCTATCTCCTTCAGTTCTGCTCTAATCTTAGTTATTTCTTGCCTTCTGCCAGCTTTTGAATTTGTTTGCTCTTGCTTCTCTAGTTCTTTTAATTGTGGGTTAGGGTGTCCATTTTAGATCTTTCCTGCTTTCTCTTGTGAGTATTTATTGCTATAAATTTCCCTCTACACAACTGCTTTAAATGTGTTCCAGAGATTCTGGTACATTGTGTCTTTGTTCTCATTGGTTTCAAAGAACATCTTTATTTCCGCCTTCATTTTGTTATGTACCCAGTAGTCATTCAGGAGCAGGTTGTTCAGTTTCCATGTAGTTGTGCGGTTTTGAGTGAGTTTCTTAATCCTGAGTTCTTATTTGATTGCACTGTGGTTTGAGAGACTGTTGTGATTTCTGTTTTTTACATTTGCTGAGGAGTGCTTTACTTCCAACTATGTGGTCAGTTTTGGAATAACTGCGATGTGGTGCTGAGAACTAATGTATATTCAGTGTTTACTATTTGGATGATGGGTATACTAAAAACCCAGACTTGAGCACTGTGCAATATATCCATGTAACAAAACTGCACTCGTACCTCTAAATCTATAAAAATAAAACATAAATAAAATTTCAAAGGAATTTAAAAAATAAATACAATCAATTATAGAAAAAATGTAATCCTTGCACATCTGATTTCTGTACTGTGATTTTATCCAAAGTTGCTCCTAATATCTGCAATTTTAAAAATCTTAGGGCCATGTGTGCAGTGGAGATGACTGATTTTTTGCTTCTCTAAACCCTATATTCTTAACCTCAGACTTACAGTGTCAAAGAAGAAGTTACGCAAAACCTAGGAGGAATGACATCTAGTGCAGTTGAAGAAAGTAAAACTGCATTTGGATTTGCCTCTTCCCCTAAGATGATCCTATATTCTTAAACTCTGAAGAGACCTCCCATAGACTTTAAGATATATTTTACTTTATAGAAAGTATTATAGCTCCAATTAAGCAGCTATTTTGCCAAAAGCCGAACAGACTCAGTAGGAACTCATTGATGCACTAGCTAGTCATCAGATATTTATGTGTGCTGGGTCAAATTAGGTTGTATGATACTGTGGCCCCAATCTGAAAATTTGAGTTCAAGTTCCACATTTGCCACTAATGAGCTATGTGACCTTGAGAAATCAACTTAACCTTTGAGAACTTCAATTTCTTTTTCTGTAAAATTGAGACTGGATGGAGAGTAAAGTTCTTTTTATCTGTGAAAACACCCTGATTCTATTTTTTCCCCAAACACAACTACCATATTCAGTCAAAATCTGTTATAACACATTGATCTCCTAAAAAGGCTGGCTTCTTCTGCTTATCTGGCTGGAACATCCTTACCTCAAGCACCAGCATTATAAAGGGATTTATATACAGTATTATTCCTGAGAAGTGTGTCTTTGGCAGAGGCAAATAGAAATTGCAAAGCAAAATTAGGTTTGTGCATATTTTGCTGGAGAAAAAAAAAAAACAACCTCTCTTCCTCTGTGGCCTAGCTTTTAAAATTTCAATTTTTGCCTCCACTAGCCAAAAGAAACTGAACGTTGTGCAGTTATTCAGTGAAAATGCAAGTGTTGAATAGAAAAATCTGGGCAGCTCCAAGATTTCATAAACTATGAAGGTTTTTTTTTTCTCAAAGAAATATGGTTTTAAACTTAGGATGCTGTCTATAGTATTTCAACAGCAATA
Organism: Homo sapiens; assembly: GCF_000001405.40. Taxonomy (NCBI): domain Eukaryota; kingdom Metazoa; phylum Chordata; class Mammalia; order Primates; family Hominidae; genus Homo; species Homo sapiens. Next base: position 38,168,691 of record NC_000011.10, read on the forward strand.
AAAGACAAACAGCTAAATTAAAGACTCTATATATGGAGAGCGTCTACACACACACACAATTCTCTGTCATATGTACCTGGATAAATCAAAAAGGGATAGGATTTAAACTGCTTTCAAGCACTTAACATTGAGTTGCTCAGAATACAATCATGTGCTTTTTTTCTTTTTCTCCTTCTTCTCAAGGGAATCTCTTTCATTCTAGAGATAAATAACCTTTTTAGCTGATGCTACTCTATTAACTTACATCTGAATAACAAAAATATGCATCAGTGCTTGACTATTTTAGATGATTCTGAGTTATCTCAAACTTAATTTAACTATAAAATGACTTTGATTTCCACTGCCTCTGCTTTAGGCATTCCTACCATAGAAAATGAAGCCACCACATTACAAATACTCATACCTGAAGTCTAGATGTGAATGCCAACTACATGCTTTTCCTCATTTCTACATCTCATCCTTCAGCATATTTTATCAGTTCAGTTTGCAAATCAGGTCTCGACTGGGTCCTGCTCTCCACACCCATTCCACACTGTTCTATCATTATCCAGGCCAGTATTTTCTCACTCTTGAATACTCTCAGTCAGCGCCCATTGTAATCCATTTATAATTAAATAGTAAGAATTAGTTCCTTTAAAATCTAAAGGTAAGTCTGTTGCTTCCTATTTAAATATTTCAATGGTCAGCCAATGGATAAAAATAAGCCTGGAACTTCACTCCTAAACCTTCAATAAGCCAGCTCTTTATTATATGACTCATTGTTTATTCACGTCTATGTTGCATAACTTCCATCTTTACTCATAGACTGTCACCTTTTTGATCTTATTTTTTTTTAGATTTTGAAGCATACTTAGCTCTTTGCAGCTCAGAGATTGTTGACCTGATGTTACTTCTGTTTGAAAGATTCCCCTCCTCCTCTCCCATTTGCTTGTTTTATTTCTTAATGTTTTAGCCTAAATGTTATGTTTAACAGAACTTTTAGGGTGTTTAACAGACACCCTTCCTAAAATAAATCTCGCCCACCTCATACTATTAACTTTTTCTACACCAGCACTTTGTTTTCTTCTTTATAATATTGTTATAACATTGTTATAAGTGATTATATAAGATATGTAAACACTATATCAATAGTTTATTCACTTGTCATTTATTTTTGCATCTAGAATGCAAACTCCATATGGTTAGATTATACCTGTACTAAACTCATTTCCTAGCTGGAAGTAGCTGCAAATAAGCATTTTCTTTTTTTGAATATTGAATAAAAGAATTATCTTGCAAAGAGTGTGGAGTTTTCATCCTGAAGTGAAGCAACTGTGATGTTTGTATCTGACTATGTGGGATTCAGTGTTGGATGTGTAACCTAAGGGCTGCTGTTTGCCACCCCAGAAGACAAGGGATAGATGGTAACTTAAAATACCATCAAGCTTTCTTCAGGCCCAGTGTCTATAGGCTACTTAAAACATAAACTTGGCCAGACACGGTGGCTCACGCCTACAATCCCAGCACTTTGGGAGGCCGAGGTGCGCAGATCACAAGGTCAAGAGATTGAGACCATCCTGGCCAACATGGTGAAACCCTGTCTCTACTAAAAGTACAAAAATTAGTTGGGTGTGGTGGCACGCACATGTAATCCCAGCTACTCGGGAGGCTGAAGCAGAGGAATCGCTTGAACCCAGAAGGCGGAGGTTGCAGTGAGCTGAGATCACGCCACTGCACTCCAGCAGCCTGGGCGACAGAGTGAGATTATCTCAAAAAAAACCAACAACAACAACAAAAAATTAGCCATGTGCTCTGGCACGCACCTGTAATCCCAGCTACTCAGGGGGCTGAGGCAGGAGAATCGCTTGAACCTGGCGGGGGTGGAGGTTGCAGTGAGCCAAGATCGCACCACTGAACTCCAGCTTGAGGGACAGAGTGAGACGCCGTCAAAAAAAAAGAAAAGAAAAAAAAAACATGAACTTGATCATTACACATACTACACATGTAACAAGTACTCATATGTACCACATATATATATATAAAATATTTTTTATTAATGAAGCAAAAAAAATAAACTGACTTCTCCTATAAAACATTCCAACAACCACTATGATTTTTCACACTGTGCTTTCAAAATTGGATGCCCGTAATAACAACAGAGGGAAGGAAATAACAAAACAGACACATCAGTTTCCTCATCAGAATAAACAGACTAAAATTATTTACTGTTTGTAGTGTTAGAACAAATTTCCTCATAAGTTTCCATTTGCACATTTCAACTGACAGCAGAACAATATCAACATTATTTCCACTAGGAGTGGAAAATGAAAGTGGATATTAGACACACAAGGCATTTGGAATTGAGAAAATAAACTGGTTTGTGGAATTGATGGCTATCAACAGTTCACATGCCCTTTGGAGAGGATTCAGTCTATGAAAAGAGGTTTATCTAGAATGCAGAATCTTTTATACTATTCCCAGGAAATGAAAGTGTTTGACCACTCCCTGTGTAGATCTTTACCTCTTTCTTCCAGACATTCTCAGTGCTCACCCCTGTGAATAAAAGAATGTCATGACATTTACAGAGTCTAGAACTGTGAGATGTTTTACATTTTGAGAGTGTCTACTATACAACCTACCTATACAGTGGATTGAGGGTTTTTAGTCTAGCTACAGACCAATTAGAATTTAGCTAATTTATCTCCACTCCTGATAAAGGCTGCACTTTTTCCCCTAGCTTGACTTGGAAAGCTGTAAATAGAAGCTCAGATTCCTGTGTGTATGTGTGGGCCTGTGTGTTTCAATATACAGAGGAGCTGTAAAAGAAAACAAAACTGATCAAGTACATTTTATATGCATTATTTCCCTTTTACCCATTAAGTGACCCTAAGAAGTAGGTATCATCTTTTTAGGAAATGAAGGATAAAGAAGGACGTTATATAACTCATTTACACAATAAAACATTTTTACTCTTACTTGACATTTTATATAGATTGTATATATGTTTTAAAGAAAGCAGTGTTCACTATAACCAACTTTTATTTCCAGTTTGACTGTTTCATCTTCTAGAACACTATGCATATTGGTTTCTTTAATTATGTAGGTGGGATTTAAGATATTTGCCAATCTCTTAAAATCAAAGTGATTTTTTACAATCTTCGCTCTGTAGGGGAAGAATGAATGACAATATTCATTTTTCCATGACCTAATAAAGAATATCTCAGTTGATTCCATTTTGGGGCAATTATGAATAAAACTGCTATTAACTTTTGTACACAGGATCTTGTGTAGATGTAAGTTTTCACTTCCTCTGGGTAAATATCAAGCAACGTTATTATTGGATCATTTAGTCAGAAAAAATATGTTCAGTTTTTTAAGAAACTGACGAACTGCCTTCCAATGTGACTGAGCCATTCAGCATTTCTACCAGCAATAAATAAGTATTGTCAGTGTTGAATTTCAGCAATTATAACAAGGGTGTAATGATCTCTCATTGCTGTTTTTATTTGAAATTTTTTAATGATATATGATGTTAAATATATTTACATATACTTATTTGCCATCTGTATTTTCATTAGTGAAGTGTCTGTTAAGGTCTTCCGCCCCCTCACTTTTTTTTTTTTTTTTTTTTTTTTTTGACAGTCTCGCTCAGTTGCCGAGGCCAGAATGCAGTGGCTGGATCACAGTTTACTGCAGCCTCAAACTCCCAGGCTCAAGCGATCCTCCCACTTCAGCCTCCTGCGTTAGCTGTTTGGCCCATTTTTTAATTGGGTTGTTTTCTTAGCGTTGAATTTTAAGAGTACTTTTTATATTCTGAATACCAGTCCTTTATCAGACATGTGTTTTGCAAAAATTTTATGTGGCTTCCTTGTCCTCTCTTAATTGTGACTCTCACAGACGACGCATCTCTAATTATAATGAAGTTCAACTTAGCAATTTTTTTTCATGGCTTACATTCTTGATATATCTAAACACTCTCTGTCCAACCAAAGTTCAGTCAGATTTTCTCTTATTTTATCTTCTAGAAGTTTTATCTTTTTGTGTTTGGCACTTAGATCTGTGTTCTATCTTGAGTAAATTTTTGTAAAAGGTGTAAGATCAGGGTATAGATTCACTTCCTTTGCATGTGAACTTTCATTTGTTCCAACACCATTTGTTGAGAAGACTATCTTTGCTGTATTGCACTGCTTTTGCTCCTTTGTCAAAGATCAATTGACTATATTTGTGTGAGCTATTTCTAGGCTATTTTGTTCTATTGATTTATTTGTCCAATCTTACACTGATATCACACTGGCATTATTACTGTAGCTTTACAGTAAGTCTTGAAATCGAATAGTATCAGTCTTGTGACCTTGTTCTGATTCTTCAATATTGTGTTGACTATCCTGGATCTTTTGCCTTTCACATAAATTTTAAAATCCATTTGTTGATACCCTCAAAGTAATTTGCTGCATTTTTTTATTTAAACAATATGAATGTATAGATCAAGTTGAGAAAAACTGACATTTTAAGAATATTATTTTCCTATCAATAAATATGAACTATCTCTTAATTGAATTAGTTATTTGATTCCTTTAATCAGAGTTATAGTTTTTCTCATATAGATCTTATACATATTTTGTTATATTTTTATCTAAATATTTCGATTTTGAGAGTGTTAAGGTAAACAGAATGTATTTTTTCCTTTAATTTCAAATTTCAATTGTCCATTGTTGGCATATAGGAAAGTAATTGACTTTTGTATACCAACCGTATATCCTGCAATCTTGCAATTATTGCTTATTAATTTTAGGAGTATATATGTATGTGTGCGTGTATATACATATATATAGTCATATACTCAAGAGTTATCTAAAGATGTAGATACATTCTGAGAAACGTGTTAGGTGATTTTGTTTGTTACGTGAACATCATAGTATGTACTTACACAAATTTTGATGGTATAGCCTACTACACACCTAGGCTATATAGAAATGCTCCGGGATTCAGGAGGATGAGAGAGACCTCAGATTGAAACAGGAGAATCTTTATTGAGCGCAGTCAGGCCCAGCTGACTTACGTCCAAAAAATTGGGCCCGGAATAAAGACAGCATCTGGCTTTTATACACACTTCACAAAAGTGGGTGGGCTAGCTTGAAGCAAGCTTACCGTGGCGTGAAAGCGGGGATGCAGAGGCAGGACAAAGGCAGGATTGCATATGACCATTGCCAAGCAACCCAGATGTTCGTTATCTAGGTTTGGATATGGGCTTATCCTATAACTTTCACTATGGTGCCCAGGCAGCTGTAGGTCAGGCTTCTCATGACCTTCGTTGTACTTCTTAGATGAAACAGAATATTTGAAGTCACTAGTTACAGAGAACAAGAATCTATAAACTCATTCCATAAAACAAAGGAAAATTTGTTTTTCTTCTCCCTATGTTGAGGGAGTGCTGGGAGAGTCTCCAGAGTACATTAGATAATATTATCAAGACTTTTCCTGGGTCTGGGCTGTGCCTCTTGCTGCCTCTGGGACAAGTCAGCCTAATACAAGAAAACTTATTTCTCTTTCTTTTTAATTTTATTTTTCTTTAATTTCCTGCCTCATTATGGCCTATGGCTTCTAGGCCACAAACCTGTACAGCTTGTTACCATGCTGAATAATGCAGGCAATTATAATACAATGATATGTGTTTGTGTACCTAAACATGACTAAACATAGAGAAGGTACAGTGAAAACATGGCATAAAAGATTAAAAAATGGAACACCTATTTAGGGCAGCTGCATTATAAACTTATGGGACCACTGTCATATAGGCAGGCCATCATTGACCTAAATGTCATTATGTGACACATGACTGTGTGTGTGTGTATGTGTATATACACATAAATATACACACATATACAAACATATATGTTTATTTATATATAAACATATATATGAATATTTATATATAAACATATATATGAATATATATTCCTTTGTATATAAAGGTATATTCACATATATAAACATATTATATATTCATATATAAACATATATATATTCCTTTGAATATTTTATATAGACAAAACAAGACAGTTTTATTTCTTCTTTTCTGTATGTACACCTTTTCTTTTCTTCCCTTATTTTATTGTTTTAGCTAGGATTTCTAGTACAATGTTGACTAGGAGTGGTGAGAAGACCAATTCCACCTTGCTCCCAACCTTGGGGGAAAATCATCTATTTTCTCACCATTAAGTATCATGGTAGCATGGGCTTTTTTGTAGACCTTTTTTATAAATTTGAGGAAGTTCCCCTTTATTCCTATTTTACTGAGCATTTCTGTCACAAACATGGGTTGAACCTTGTTAAATGTTTTCTTCTGCATATACATATAAATGATTTTTCTTCTTGAGTCTGTTGATGTGATATTATTTTTTAAATAATGAAGAAGACTTGCATATCTGGAATAAATCCCACCTGGTCACAGAGTATAATGATTTTTAAGCCTTGTTGGATACAATTTACAAATATTTTGAAGATATTTGCATCTACCTTCATGAGAGATATTGGTCTGTACTTTTCATTTCTTTTAATGTTTTGCCTTTTTTAGGTATTAGATAACTTTAATGATTTAGAAAGGATTTCCTCTGCTTCTATGCTCTAGAAAATATTGCAGAAAATTAGTATTATATTTTTTAAATGTTTGGTAAAATTTACCTATGAAGTTATCTGAACCTGGTGCTTTTGTTTTTGAAGGTTATTATATATAGATTCATATTATATTTTCATATTTTTAAAACACAGTTTGATATCTCACTTTCTATAATTTTTCCAACATAAAAGCAATTAAACTGAAGTTTCAAAATGTAAACAGAAACTGAAATAATCATTATTCATGAAGTTGTAAGGAAAAAATACATCCTTGCTCCTGAAACAGAAATATCCTTTGCAAAAGGCAAATATTATGGACTCATACAAACACATACACATATCAATCACTACAGACTCTCTGTTTAAAACTTCTCAATGTTTTCTCCTTCCTTATAGGATAAGCACAAGATCCTTACTGTGGTCTATGAATTCCTACATGATTTGCTTCCTACTACCTTCTTAAATTGCATTATAGGTAGTCTTTTCCTTAAGTCTTAAGCACCATGCTAGTTATATCTTTCTCTCAAACCTGCCTAGACCCTTCCACAGGGCTTTTGAAAATACAAGTCTACAGGATGTTTGCACATGGAATGTATTCCCCCTATTCCTCTGTCTAGTATCCATTTCTTTCTTTGCTATTCTTTATTTTTCTTTGGTAAACTTTGTTATGCCATGTTCAGGCTCCATCATTAAATACTCCTATTAAACTGATTACTTTTCCTTCACAGAATTTTTACCACCTGTACATACATATTTCTGCAATTATTAGATAGTATTTGTTTAATTTATAAAAGAGTAAGACCAAGGAGAATAAGAATAATATTTTTCTTTATTGCTTATTATCTATATCCAGGATATTGTGTAGTGTCCAGCATATACTATCCACTTAAGAGCTGTTAAGTAAACAAACAAATGAATAAACAAGGAGATATTCTATTAGGACATTCAGGTAGATCTGATGATAATCTAAATTAGTAATAACTATCATATGTGTATCATAATAATGACAGAGACAGGAGGCAGAGAAACTCTAGGCAGACAGAAGCGGGTTCCTGGTGAAGCCCCACCTTCAAGCCAAAAAGCCTGAAACCTGTGGCTGAAAGTGAGAACTTCTATCCCTGTGTGCCCACCCTCTCCTGATAGGTTCTTTCTAAATAATATCTTTTTACCCATCCAATGTTGCATTTTCCAAAACTACCTTCAGCCCACCATGCCCATAACCTCTACCTATAAAGACCCCGGACATAGCTGGCAGAGAGGAGAAGCTGCTGAACATTGGGAAGAAGGGCTGGATGTCAGGAAGAGGTGACTTTGACTTCAGAGACAGCAGCTGGATGAAACAACTTGACTTCAGGAGAGAGAGAGAGGCAGCTTGACTTCCAGGGAGAGCGACCTGCACTTCCTATCTTCTTTCCATCTCCCCTCTCCACTGAGAGCCTCTTTCATCAAGCAGTAAAATTCTCCACATTCACCATCTTTCAATTCATCCATGTGACCTCATTGCTCTTGGGCAATGGACAAGAATTCAAGAGGCACCAAGTACAGGTACCCTGAAAGGCTGTCACATTGGCCCTTTGCCCTGCTGGGAGAGGTCAACCACCCCACGTGATGACGCAAAGGGCCCACTAAGCTGATAATACACTACTATCTGTGGATGGTGGGGCTAATAGAGTATTGTAAAACGCCCTCTTGGGCCTTGGGGTCGCAAGCACCACAATGGGATGCCGCGGCGGGGACTGCATGGACATTGCTCCTGCCAGTGTTGAAGTAGCTGGCCAGTTCGTGCACTTGTTCCACTTGCATGGTCCCTCCTACATGGGGTGGAGCCCTGCAGATCTGAGTGAAGGGGAGTTTGCTCCTGCCAGGCCACCTGCCAGTTCTTGCACTTGCTCGCTCCCTTCCCCTCCCTCACTGGTGTGCTCCCTCCCCCGAGGGGTTGAGCAGGGTGGGCTGAGCGAACAGGGCACCCCTGTCACGAGTCACTTGAAGAGGTCAAGAAAATATCCTACATCAATAATATCACCTTCTTAATACCATAATTTGCATAAAACAGTGAAGCTTTTAAACTCCATACTTTCTTTTTCTATAGAAAATGTAACACCTAAATATGTTGAGAAGTAGGGCTTGTTAATAAAGCAAACAATTGTGTTTTGTTTTGTCTGAGGATACATCTAACCTCAGTTATTATTACCCTTTTAAAAATTTCCCATTGCTTCCTATGACGGTCTCAATTCTTTTGAGTGAATATTTTGAAACACTTGCAAGAAGAACAGAGCGAGAAAAATGCAGGTGTACCTCAAAGGGGTAAGAAATCAAAACTCCTTTTTGTTAAATGCCAATGAAATGAAATAAAACTTATGAGACATGCATTGGTAGAAAAGTATATTGTTATAGACACAAAGAATCCAATACTACCTCATTCAATATTAAGTTGTAGTGTTTCTCCCATTATGTCAAGGTTTAAGCATACACCACAGTGTATTAAACGTGATCCATAGGTATTTTTGGCAGAAGCCGGAATGAAACAGACAGTAAAAGCATTTTCAGAATTGCAATAATGTTTGTTAAGCATTCTCAGATCTATCATAAGGTATTTTTCTTTTCTAAATCAGTGCAGTTGGCTGAATCAGTAAATTTAAAATGAGAAATAGATACTGGTTTACTACAGTTGCTCTCATCAACCTGATCTGTTCACTATGGGTGTAATATTAGTAGACTAGTTCAATAAGAAATATAACGGGGATGTGAATTTCTTAACGTTTATGCAAAAAATAGACAAACAAAAAAACTGTGAAAAGATAGGTGTGTCCTTATGTCATATGTGAAAAGACTGCATAACTTTCTAATCAATTAGGTGTTTTTTTTTTGGCCATGTTTTATCAGTCTTTTTTATTTTTATTTTTTGAGACGGAGTCTCTCTCTGTCACCCAGGCTGGAGTGCAGCGGCGTGGTCTCGGCTCACTGCAAGCTCCGCTTCCCAGGCTCACGCCATTCTCCTGCCTCAGCCTCCGGAGTAGCTGGGACTACAGGCTCCCGCCACCACACCCGGCTAAGTTTTTTGTATTTTTGTAGACAGGGGATTTCACCGTGTTAGCCAGGATGGTCTCGATCTCCTGACTTCGTGATCCACCCGCCTCGGCCTCCCAAAGTGCTGGAATTACAGGCGTGAGCCACAGCGCCCGGCCCCAGTTTTATCAGTCTTATGCTACCTGCATTATTTTAATGTAAAGGCTTTAGAAATCTTAGTGCCATACTGAGTGAATATTTTGAATAAACAGTCTTCTGTTTGTTGAAGAGGAAACTTTAACAAAAGCTAAATCAGACTGGATCTACAAAGTTACCTGGAGAATCTAACAAGCTGAAACACACACACACACACAGACAAACACATTGCACAGCTACAAGATACAACCTGCTAAATGATGTACAGCGCTGATACTGTCGTTTTTACTTCTTAGTATACCTTATTTGCTAAAATCACTAATTACTCATGTTGTAAATCCAATAATTCACAGAAAGTCTTTTCACATTAAATAATGCTATTGGAAAGTTACAGTTCATTGGCTCTAAGGTGGAGCTGGTGGTGGTCCATCAAGTTTAAATGAGTCTTCCAAACTCTCACGACTAGTTAGGAACAGTCCTTTTACTGAAAATCAGTTCCTTTATCTCCCAAAAAATAATATTTAATTTATGATATAACACTATCTCCCTAGATTTATGAGACATAATAAAGTTATTTGAAATCTTTCTCCTCCCGATGACAGTTTCACACTTTTGTTTTGAATCCTCATAATTTACTCAAATATTGTGGAGATAAAAATTCAATTTATGAGTAAAACTGTATGTACTTGCAATAAAAATTCCAAAATGTAGGGATGTCTACATTCCTTAGCAAAAAGGTATTGATGAAATAATTCCATTCTAAAGAGTCAGAGATAAAGTAATATAAATAGCCAATTTTATTGTTTCAAGTGTACAGAAGCTACTGTAGACAGTAGGTTGAAAACTGAAGTTTGAAAATTATTTTCTTTCAGTAACCACTTTTATAGAATTAGATTTCTAACTTCATGGGGCTATGTTAAAACTACATGAGAATAAAAGTTTTATAAATGCTTCCTTTGCAGAACAACGTATCTCCAAATCAATAAAGACTATGCGCAATCCCTGATGATTGTGGTTTTCCCACTTAACTTTTTTGTTTATTTTAGCTCTATCATCTCTTCTTGTTTATAAATTAAAAAAAATTTAAACAAAGTTCATAAAATGTTCTGTAGTTGTTTACGTTTTTCTATATCATGTTTCTCCCATTTGGTTTCTACAATTTTCCAAAATGCATAGAGACAGAGGAACCTGTGGCAGCATAGCATGATGGGAAGACCATGGCTTTGACATTGGATGGCCTGAGTTTAAACTCTGCTTTCATCACTTCACAGATGATCATTTGAAGCCAGTCATGAAATAGCTCCATTATGTTACTTTATATTAAAAAAAAAAAAGAGTGAGGTTGCCTAGTCATATATGGTGAGGATGATATGAATAGATATTTATTTATGGCACTTGACAGAGTGCTTTGCCCATAAAAGTATTCAGTAAATTATCTATGGTCAGCACAAATTAGAGAAAGTTCTCCTACCTTCCATTTCCAAATTTACTAAGTCACATAATATATCTTCTGAAAAAGGCCAGGATGTAGTAATACTGATGATTATGACAGTAATGACAACCACAACAAGGAGAATAAAAAGAAGGAAGAAAAGGAGTAAGATGGGGAAGAAAATATGGGTAAGGGAGGGAAGAGTTGAGATTTTTTTTTTAACAGCTGACTCTCACAGAGTTAAGAATAATTACATTATCTCTTTTACATGCATTGCCATTTTACAAATAAGGACATAACAAGCTTAGAGAGTGTGGTGGTTTTAAAGTATGCCTCAAAATTTAGTGATACCCTTTCCTTCCACAGGTGAAATTTAATTTTCTTTCCCTTTAATTTGAGATGGACTTAGTGACTATTTTGTAATAAACAGAATATGGTGGAAGAGGTGTCATGCCACTTCCAAGACCAGGTTATAACAGAAATAGTGGCTACTTCCTTGCTCTCTTTAGGATCACTCACTGTGGGGAAGCCAACAGCCATATCATGAGGACACACAAGCAACCTTACGGACAGAAACATATGGCAAAGAATGGAGACCTCTGGCCAACAGAGACTGAGACTTCCTGCCATCTTGACTGCATTTTGTATGAATCCTTATGAGAGACTTGAGTGAAAACCTCCTTGCTAAGCCACTCTCAAATTTATGACAGACAGAAAAGGTAATAAGTATTTTAATCCATCAAATTTTTTATTGTTGTTTCTGTGGATTGTTTTTTTTTCTGTATTTGTCATTCAGCAATAGATAACTAATACAGAGTTTATAAAATTTGCCTGTTACTGAGCTACTGAGTTGTCAAAGAACAATTGTAAACCAGATACATTTGAAACCAAAAGTCAGTAACTTTTCCAACACAATAGGAAGGCCTCTTGCGAAAAGTTTTGGTGAAAGGAAACTCCCTAGAGCTAGCCATCTCTGAGGGAGGCCACCCTGCACATTGCTTTGAAAGATGGCATTCAAAATTTCAAAAGTTGGGTTACGGGACCCCCCCCAATTAAAAATCTGAATGTAAGTTATTTTTCATCCTCACCAACAAGAAAATAATTAAAAAGAAACTTCAATATATTTCCCCATTGTTTTTGTCATTTATTCCCAATCTTTTATATTATTATTATTGTTTGTTTTATTGTTATTTTGATTTACTTATTTTTTCCTGAGTAAAAAATATCTACACACTTCCTGTCTCCATGGGCCCCAGCCCATATAACTCTGTTATAAAGTATCTTTTTGCTCTCCCAGGCATACTTAATATATCTTCTCAATACATCTTCTGTTTTTCCATCATAGCTTGTTCATGATGTTGAGGTAGCCTATTGTCACCCTGTGTTGCAATTATTTCTGTTTCTGTCGGCTTCCTTCTTAAGAATTTGACATACTCATTCTTAGCTTCTTGTGATGTCTAGCCTGTAGCCTGACACAGAGCATTTTTTAAGATGAATAAACTCCCCTCCCAACTTGGCTCACTGCATTATTTTGCCAACTGGCTTTCACACATTAAAGAAAACCCACTGTAAACACTGGCAATGATCCAGGCTTAAATTAACCTAAGGCCAAAGTAATAGATATTTTTCACAAGGCCAAAAGAAAAAAAATGATCTGTTAGAACATCATCTTTCTTAGTGTGTCATAAGATGGGTTAAATTATGTTAGTGTTTAAATAGGTAATATCACCCAGATCTAGAGAGTATCTGTGTGCAGGTGTGTGCGTGTGTGTGTGCGTGTGTCACAAAAGCTTCTTATGTGTTTTGAAATGGCAGGAGGCAATAAACAGGTCTCTGTAAGACAAATCATACAAACTACTGCAAATCTGGAAGAATGCATCTAGATTCAGCTGCAAGAATGAATGTTAGAGAAAATGGTTAGCAATTACAGTGCAAGGTTGTATTTGACCAACCTTTGAGCCAAATTGCCTCTGTACTTAGGAATAAAAGGGCCATGGCAAACAGAAAATACCTGGTTACAAGACTGAAATACAGTTGTGTAACCAGAACAAAAACATATTTATGCATCAAAGTTACTTGCATATATTATAGAAACTACCTCTGAAATGCAGAAAATATTGTTACCTTTACTAATAGTAATTTGGGTCCCCATTTGACTGCTGACTCAACTCAAACTCAACCCTTTCTTCCCAGTCATCTTCATCTAGATATGGTCACTGGGACACCATGCTTGGAGGTGCAGCAGCAAAAGAGAAAATATGAAATCCACACAGGAGGAAGAAAAAGACAGAAAGATCCTGGATCACTATCCAGATTTTTGAGCCATGGCTCCAAACTGCCTATTTTTAGACTTCTTGTGATGTAGACCAAAAAAAAAAAAAAACAAAAAACCCTATTGTCCAAGGGTGCAGGGCCAAAGTTCTCTAAACCAGGGAGGTTCTGATTAATAACTGATTTTAGATAAGAACTTAGAAAACCATCACATGCACTCTGGGTTCTATGAAACTTTGCTGGATTCTGTGAGACTTTGCTTTACTCTAGTTCCAAAGCACTTTTTTTTTTTTGAGGTAAAAATGTACTTTCATCTCAGTAAGGGAATTCAGCAACCATGCAGAATGGAAAAGGTGGGTCAGATGGTTGCCTTTCATAAAGCAATATCACCTCCAAGGCTTCCAAATGTTTGCTTTATAAACTACCCTCAGCCTGTCACTTACAATTTCCATTTTCATTATAAATCAGCAGCAAAATGTGCCGACTGTCTGTGTTGCAATAAAACACAGCTGTTTCCATTTGCTCTCCTATCAGTTTCATTCTCACATCATTCTGCATTGGAATTGAATTGAATCATTCATCCCTAGTACAAGAAATGTTCTGCAGTTTAGTAGCAGGCAAATCTTACTCTTTAATTTCACTTTCTTTTGGGTTTCCCAATAGACTAGAATTGGGACTTCAGTTTTCCACTCTGGCATTTGTAATATGGAATGTGTTAGTCTTTAGTACAAATAAAACAAACATCTGACTGCATCTTACTCTCACATGAAATTAAAAGAAGTTTTGCTAAGCCCTGTGTTTCAAAATGTAGTAAGGTTCTTCAATTCCAGGTAACTGCATAAAGGAATATGAGTTTCTAAGACAGGAAAAAATGTGGTTTGTATGTGTATTGTAAGAGGTAAGGAATAAAAGATTAAATGTGAATTATGATTATGTTACTTCCAATCGAAGAAAGCTTGCAATTTCTAGCCTGTAGCCTGACACAGAGCATTTTCTTAGATGAATAAACTCTCCCTCCCAACTTGGCTTAATACATTGTTTTGGATATTATTTAATAACCATTTTGTTCATAGTGTTGTAGATTTTTCAGATATTGACAACATAGTATCTCAGATTTTTAAAATATATTCAGGTAGACAATTATTATCAACACCTACTTATACATAATGAAAGTGTGAATTAGAAAGATTATTAATATTAGCTCAACATCATATAATCCAGTGTCTGGAACATCAAAAATGCTTTTTTGAATGAATGAATAAAGATATCAATTAATTAGTTTTGGAGCTGGAATTCTAATTCATGCCAGTGCTGCTTTTCCACAGTACAGTTTCTTACCCCTGTTTGCATCACTAGTTTTTGGAGTTAGGCTCTGCTTGATACAAAGCTGGTTATACTCTCATTTATGTCCTGTGTTATTTCTTTGCCTGCGATTTGTTCTCACGCTGAAAATGTGAAGTATTCCAGCATTCTCAGGTAAATTCCGACCCACAGGCATGGGGCCTGTCGCTTATTGTTCATGGATACCTTTTTTGTTTTGTTTTGAGACAGTCTCGCTCTGTCTCCCAGGCTGAAGTCCAGTGGCATTGCATCCATCACCTCCTGGGTTCAAGAGAGCATATCTGGCTAATTTTTGTATTTTTAGTAGAGAAAGCGTTTCACCACGTTGGCCAGCTTGGTCTCAAACTCCTGACCCCAAGTGATATGCCCGCCTCGGCCTCCCAAAGTGCTGGGATTACAGGTGTGAGCCACCACACCGGACCCTGTTCATGGATGCTTTTAATGTTATATTTGCCATGAGGATATTAAAGGATATAGTAGTCTCTCAAAGTTTGGCAGATAGTTACGGGTTAAGGATATGTGGCATGAGCCAGGCATCAAGTCCACTTCCAGAGACCTAAAATTGTGTGACAGCTCTGAGTACAGTCAGCTTCCCCTGGATTACAAACTGAATAGATGGCTGGAGAGGACTTTGTTTTACTGCTTCTTGAAGTTAGTGCTTTTTACAGAAAATTTTATCATTCTAACTCAGCCCCAAATATTCTTTCTCAGAGATTTATTTTTTTCTGTTCTCTCCACTTTTTTCTCCCTGTTCTGTCTTTGTTTCTTATCCACACTGTTCCTCATTATGAAGATCAATTGCACTCCCCTCATTTTTTGTCAAAATAATACTTAAAAACACATCAACAAGAAGCCAATTGCTCATCAAAACCAGGGTAAAATAATAATCAACAGAAAGTTCTGAAACTCTTTTTGAGAATAAAAAACACAAAGCATTCCTTAACTTGGAAAGAAGAATAGTATTTTTGGTCTTTCTCAGAGAAAATCAAAATTTTTACTTTTCTACCAATAACTGGGCCTCTAATATAGCAAATTAAAATAAAAAGATTTTTTTAAAAAATTTTAACATTTTTATTTTACTATCCAGGATTATAAAAAATAGACTTTTTAAAAGAGCAGTTTTAAGATCACAGAAAAATTGAACAGAAATTTCAGCATTCCTATATATCCCCTGGCCCCATACATACATAGCTTCTTCTGTTGTCACCATCCTGCACTGGAGTGGTATATTCATTACAACTGATGGACCCACATTGAGACATCATTATCACTCAAAGTCCATTGTTCATATTAAGGGTCTCTCTTGGTGCTTTAGATTAAATGGATTCTGACAGTTGTACAATAACATGTATCCACCTGTGAATCATACAGGATAGTCTCACTGCCCTAATAATCCTCTGTATTCCTCTAATTCTTCCTTCCTCCCTTTCTTCTAACTACCGGCAACCACTGATCTTTTTACTGTCTTCATAGTTTTGCCCTTTCTAAAAATATTATATGGTTGGAATCATACAGTATGTAGCCTTTTCAAATTGGCTTCTTTCACTTAGTAGTGTATGTTTAAGTTTCATCCATGTGTTTTTATGGCTTGAATCCTCATTTCTTTTTATCACTGAATAGATTCCAGTGCCTGAATGTATCTCAGTTTATTTATCCATTCACCTACTGGAGGGCATCTTGGTTGCTTCCAAGTTTTGGCAATCATGAATAAATCTGCTATTAACATTCATGTGCAGGTTTTTGTGTGGACACAAAAGCCTTTGTTTTTCAAGTCCTTTTCGGTAAATACCAAGGAACACAGTTGCTGAATAGTATGCTAAGAGTATGTTTACTTTTCTAATAAACTGCCAAACTGTCTTTCAAAGTGGCTGTACCATTTTACATTGCTTCTAACAATGAAAGAGAGTTCCTCTTGCTCCACATCCTTACCATCATTTGGTGTTATTGGTAGTCTTCATTCATTTTGTGCTGCTAAAACAAAATACCTGAGACTGTAATGTATAAAGAACAGAAATTATTGTCTCATAGTCTTGGAGCTGGAAAGTCCAAACTCAAGGTGCTGGCAGGTTCAGTTGTCTAGTGAGAGCTTCTTTCAGAAAGGATGGCTTTTTTGCTACATCCTTGGACGAAGAGGAATGCTGTTTCCTCCTATTGTGATAGGCAGATGGGCAAGCTAACTGAATGCTTCATAAAGTCTCTTTTAAAAGTTTCTTAATCTTATTCACAAGAAATGAGCCCTTATGGCCTAATTAGCTCTTAAAGGCCCCACCTCTTAATACTATCATATTGGCAACACCTGAATTTTGAAGGTGACACATTTAAACCGTAGCATCAGTATTTGGAATTTTGGCCATGTTAATAGGTGTACTGGGTATCATTGTTTTAATTTGCAATTCTCTAACGATATATCATCTGGAGCATCTTTCCATATGTTTATTTTTCATCTGTATATCTTTTTTGGTGAATTTTTCATTCAGATATTTTAACCATTTATTTTCTTATTGTTGGGTTTCAAAAATTCTTTGTATATTTTGGATAATAGTTCTTCATCAGACATGTCTTTTGCAAATATTTTTTTCCAAGTCAGTTGCTTATCTTATTTTCTTGACAGTGTCTTTTGCAGAGCAGAGATTTTTAATTTTAACAGAGCCAAGTTTAGCAATTATTTCTTTCACGAGTCATAGTGTTGTACCAAAAAATTCATCATCATACTTAAAGTCATCTATATTTTCCCTTGTTGCCTTCTAGTAGTTTTATGGTTTTGTGCTTTACACATTGATCTATTATCCATATTGAGATAGCTTTATAAAGGGTGTAAGTTCTGTATCTTAGATGTCCAATTGTTTTAGTACCATTTGTTGAGGACTGTCTCTTCTCTAGCATATTACATTTGCTCCTTTGTCACAGATCAGTTGACTATGTGGGTCTATTTCTGGACCCTATTCTGTTTTATTTCACTTATCTTTTTCCAGAAATTTTTATGTTTATCTTGTGCAATGCTAACAGCAAATGGATAAGATAGCTATTATTACATTTATTTTGTAGATGAGAAAATTTAGGTCTTCAGGGGAAAATTACTTTGCCCGGTACCTGACCAAACTATGTTCAAATTCAGCTCTGTGTTGCTCCAAAGATTTTGCTCATTCTACTAAACCAAATTCAACACTTATACAGAGGAATTGGGGTGGAGTACACAATAAAATGATGATTAGAATGAGTTCAACATTATTTTATCCCACATGCAGTGGTTCCGTTCCTTTTTGTTATATCATTCTTTATTCCACTCACATATTCTCAATCTTTAGCTGTGTTTGGATCAATGAAAAATGAGGTTAAGAATTATAATGGCTATCATGAGTGTCTGAATTATAAAAGTGGCAACATCTGAAATTGCTCCATATTTAGAGCAAATATAGTATGAATACCGTGACATATTTGCATATGGGCACATTATTCCACTTATTTCCTGAGCATAGGACCAAATAAGATACTAATTCTATTAAGAAATCTCAGCCGGGCACAGTGACTCACTCACACCTGTAATTCCAGCACTTTGGGAGGCCAAGGCAGGCAGATCACGAGGTCAGGAGTTCAAGACCAGCCTGGCCAATATGGTGAAACCCTTTCTCTACTAAAAATACAAAAATTAACCGGGCATGGTGGCGTCTGCCTGTAATCACAGCTACTGAGGGGGCTGAGGCAGAGGAACCGTTTGAACCCGGGAGGCGGAGGTTGCAGTGAGCCAAGATCGTGCCACTGTACTCCAGCCTGGGCAGCAGAGTGAGACTCTGTCTCAAAAAAAAAAAAAAAAAAAAGTAGCCTCAAAAAGAACAAGATCAATTACTTGCTTTTATAAAGTTCTTTATAATTCATAATATCATGGGAGGAAAAAAAGTTAGTTAAATGCGACCCAGTTTGCAAAAATAAGGTATCGCATGTGCTTTTACTACTGGCCTATTTTTGTACACACCCTCATTGGGGATACTGCTTGACAGATGAATCTGTCACTGAGAAAAAAGATAATCATGTTATTAAAAAGTATCCTAAGAGAAATCAGAAAACTTCTTGCAATAATGCAGATTTATCTGAAATAAGATCTACAAGAGACACATTAATATTTTTTGAGATAAAGTGCTTTATTTCCTTATCCTAAACTGTACACCAATAGAAGTTTAAAGAACATGTTATTTATTCGGAAATGGTATTTTCTCAATATAAATGAAGTATTTTGAACAGGAACAAAATGGTGTTAATGGCTTAAAAAAAGTCAAATGGTAAGCCAGCTTTATTATTCATACTCTATATTATGTGAACTACAGACTATAATGATTTCAGGGAAATTAAAGCATTTAATAATCATTTAATTCCACATTTTTTGATTTTCTACTTCCAGCAGATATTGAGATTAGCTTTTTTTTTCTGTGTTATTTACTGGCCTATTTCAGCATATTCAGAAACATGAGAAGTGAATCAAGGACTAGATACATCAAAATAAAAGTGATTGTTGACTATTGAACTTGAATAGACTGTTAATGAATCTTAATTGAAGTACTTTCTCAAATTTTAGTCTGCATAAATGTGATTATAGTTTGAAAAGCGATTATAAAATTGTGTACTAGAATTTTGAAGTGATTTCTCAAGTGTTTCCCACATTATATTCACCCCTCTCTGAAGTAAATTGACACTTTTCCCTTATTCTCAGTTTTGAACATTACATTTGGACTTTAAAACCATTTTAATGAACTTCTTACAAAATATAGTTATTCTTTTTTTAAATGCTTATTTCTTTTCTTTCTCACTTTCTTCATGTCAAATTAAAGAGGAAAATTCTCAATTCATTTTATCTGTCAAAATACAGTCAGTTTTCTTCATTAAAATATCCTAATTAAGCATAATAATAACAACAATTTTAGGGGTAATTATTTTGTTTTAGGAATTTTGCTAAGCCCCTTTATATGAATTATTTCCTCCATTGCTTCGTTCTACAATTTTCGAAGTCATCCTTTTAAGAATATATTAAAGAGAGTGGCTATATAAGGAAATAATATTGACCAAATATTTGATAAGAATTCATCCTAATTAAATGCATACTTGATTTTTGAAAAAAATGCACTTCTTTTAAACAGTCTTA
The DNA here is from genome assembly GCF_000001405.40 of Homo sapiens. Lineage (NCBI taxonomy): Eukaryota > Metazoa > Chordata > Mammalia > Primates > Hominidae > Homo > Homo sapiens. The sequence goes on from NC_000011.10 coordinate 38,188,622, forward strand.
AATAAATACAGGTAAAAATTGCATAAGGTTGATTAAACAGAGAATAATTGTAGGTAAATAATAAACTTCCAATAGGATATAATCCAGGCAACATGGAGCTAGCTTGGACTGGCTAATGCAGATGGCAACAACTGGCTGGAATCTGAATAATATTTTTATATAATGTCCATAGTAGTATTTTAAGGATGATGAGGCTACTAGATATCTAAAATAAAAAGACAAAGCTGATTTTATTGTTCACTATAACAAGAGAGAGCTATGCTTGTCAGTCATAGTCTCTGTGAGCAGAGCAGAGCAGAGAAGACTACTGATTTTATATAGGGATTCAGGGAAAAATGGAGTTCAGGGATTGGTAGATTTTCCTTCTAGAAGTTTCAGTAGATGACATCATTTGTAGAATTGCAGTCACTAGAATGAGACTGTTGTTGCCTGGTTGGTATTCAGAGGCACACTACTTAGAGCTAGTATGTTCACTGTTGACCGGGTGACTTTTTCAGAAGCAAGAGACTCACTCAGCTCCGCTGGATGGAAATGTGTTTATTTAACAGAGTTGCCATTGATTATTGAATAGGTTGTATTAGTCAAGCTCAGACACAGAGGCAGAATATGTGTAGACATATATGCAAGTCCAACGTCATATATAATAGGTAGTTAGAAAGGAAGAATCATGCGTGGGCTGAAATTTCATGAGTATGGGCCAAGCTATTGTCAAAGTGAGTCTCTTTCTCTCTCCCCAGGGAAGTAATAAGCCTTTTTCTACGGGGTTCCAACTGAGTAAGTAATGCCCACCCAGGATAATCTCTCTTAATTAATGACCATTTTTTACGGATTTTTGTTACATTATCTCTTCACTACAACAACCTATATTAGTGTATAATTGGATAAGGAAAAAAATGGATGTGCATGATACAAAATGGTTATTTCTCCCTTCCTTCTTCCAACTTTTGTAAGACAATAACTCTTGTAGTTCACCCCCCAAATAACATATGAGCAAGGAAATTCCAGAAAAGAAAGTTTAGTCTACCCAAGGTGAAAACACAAAATCATCACACATGTTTTCTATGGGCACAGAACAATCAATCTTTTTGTATGCTTGTAGGAACTTTTGAACTGATTTTTTCCACTCTTTCCTCCTTTCTCTAATTTTCCTTTTCTCTTTTTTTCTCATAGTTTTTGTCATCTTTCACTTACTACATCGGGGAATGTATGTGCCATAGCAGAATATGAGAGCAAAATACTTTGTTTTTGCCATTTTTTTTTTTTTGGCCCAAAAGCAAAGGCCCTTGAAGAACCAAAAGCATTACGGCAGACATAAATAACTTTGAAGAAGATATCGTGAGGAATATCAAGCCTTTATTATTCCCAATTTCTGTCTTTTAATTTGAAAATAAATATTTTGTGGAGAATAGGCATAGAAGGAAATATGGTCTAAATGGAAATGATGAGTGTATAAACAAAGGTGATTCTAGTATAGAAAAGAGGTAGAGCACTGGAGAGCTGGCATAACCCTATATAAGTTTATGGGATTCAAGATGAGACAGAAGTTTTATATTCAATTTAGGATAATGTTATACAGATGAATTGAGACATCTGGGATGGGAAAATCACTATATCACATATCTTGTTAGGTAAGTTGCTTAGATTAAAAGACATTTTCTATGCCCGGTCGAAAGAAAGTAGATGTCTCCTATGCTTCTGAATAGCACAGAAACAGCAGAGAACATTTCTGAGCCTCAAGGAATATTTAAGAGTATGGTCTGTGTGAACTTAGGACTGAGGGTCAGATGAGTTAAAGGCACCTTGTTGAAAGCTTGAGTGGATCTTTGGCTTTGATAAATACATCCAACCTCCACTCCCAAGTAAAGTTAAAAAGAATTAAAAACTCAGACATAATCTGATGGAAAGTGTGGGAATCACTTTCAAAATAATACCAAATTTGTGTCATTCTGCTAGGAAAATGACTTAAAATAGAAATTAGAACTTATAGCAATAAAATTCTATTTATTAAAATTCGAATACATAAAATTGTCATATACTTAACAATTATCAAATTCTAAATTGTAATACTACTTACCATCCTAATGTTTTAAATCATTTATATATAAATCACAAAAATGATTTTCATATATTGCTTATATATGTAAATTACATAAATGATTCATATATACATAGCTTATATACAAATGACATTAAAAATTGATATATTCCTACAATAATATAAATTATATATAACTGAATGGTGACTTTGGCCCTGATCTTTCACTTTTTTGCTCTAATATAGTTGGTAGTGTCTAAGAATGCTGCCTGAAATAAGATCCTTCCCATTTTTTTTTAAGAATTTCACTCTTGTGAAGCATAAAAAGAATAGAAGAATATAAGATTTTAAATCCTTCCACATTCTGCTGGTCAAAGAATATGTACTATTGTATGTAATAATACCTAAGTCATTCTTCCTCTCTGAACTCAGTCCAATTCTATTATTTGATTTTGGAAATGGATTTTGAACATGGGCCTGTTTGTCTAATCAGATTATTATTTTCCTATTCTTTTCTATTTAAATGCTGAGTGGCAGAGCTATATTTGGGAAGGCAATGATTTCATTACACCAATAGAGGGAACTGCCTTTCCAACAAAATAGCAAAAGCCAAGTTGGCTAAGCAAGAATATTTCCCATTAAACTGAAGAAGCCACAAGAGAAATGCCGACAAAATGTCACCTCAAACACAATGACAACAGGATTACAGAAATCTAATTAGCCATTTCATTAACTGAATCCTGTCTGTGGAGATGGCAAACAATGGGGACTCAGAAACATCCATTCATTAGAAATATATGGAACTGTCAAGAAGATTATTCCATAATTTGTTTCTTGTTTTTTTTTTTCAGATGGTGCAGATGGAGTTAGGGTGGCGGAGTGACTTATTAAAAGGTCGTATTTCAGAAGGTTGTAAAAACTGAGGACACTTTCAGGGAGCTAAATTTACTATTGTAGATATATTGACAATGACACCTTTGAAATCTTATTTCTTTTTTTCATCCCACATAAGCTAATTAGGTACATTTATAGACACGATGTATAAGAGTCATATCTTGACAAAAATCATTAATAAGATGCTATTGAGGGAGGAGCCAAGATGGCCGAATAGGAACAGCTCCGGTCTACAGCTCCCAGTGTGAGTGACGCAGAAGACGGGTGATTTCTACATTTCCATCTGAGGTACCGGGTCCATCTCACTAGGGAGTACCAGACAGTGGGCGCAGGACAGTGGGTGCAGCGCACCGTGTGCGAGCGGAAGCAGGGCGAGGCATTGCCTCACTCGGGAAGCGCAAGGGGTCAGGGAGTTCCCTTTCCCAGTCAAAGAAAGGGGTGACAGATGGCACCTGGAAAATCGGGTCACTCCCACCCTAATACTGTGCTTTTCCAACAGGCTTAAAAAATGGCGCACCAGGAGATTATATCCCACAACTGGCTCGGAGGGTCCTATGCCCACGGAGTCTCACTGATTGCTAGCACAGCAGTCTGAGATCAAACTGCAAGGTGGCAGCGAGGCTGGGGGAGGGGCGCCCGCCATTGCCCAGGCTTGCTTAGGTAAACAAAGCAGCCAGGAAGCTCCAACTGGGTGGAGCCCACCACAGCTGAAGGAGGCCTGCCTGCCTATCTAGGCTCCACCTATGGGGGCAGGGCACAGACAAAACAAAAAGACAGCAGTAACCTTTGCAGACTTAAATGTCCCTGTCTGACAGCTTTGAAGAGAGCAGTGGTTCTCCCAGCACGCAGCTGGAGATCTGAGAACGGGCAGACTGCCTCCTCAAGTGGGTCCCTGACCCCTGACCCCCAAGCAGCCTAACTGGGAGGCACCCCCCAGCAGTGGCAGACTGATACCTCACACGGCCGGGTACTCCTCTGAGACAAAACTTCCAGGGGAACCATGAGACAGCAGCATTCGCGGTTCACGAAAATCCGCTGTTCTGCAGCCACTGCTGCTGGTACCCAGGCAAACAGGGTCTGGATTGGACCTCTAGCAAACTCCAACAGACCTGCAGCTGAGGGTCCTGTCTGTTAGAAGGAAAACTAACAAACAGAAAGGACATCCACACCAAAAACCCATCTGTACATCACCATCATCAAAGACCAAAAGTAGATAAAACCACAAAGATGGGGGAAAAACAGAGCAGAAAAACTGGAAACTCTAAAAAGCAGAGTGCCTCTCCTCCTCCAAAGGAACGCAGCTCCTCACCAGCAACAGAACAAAGCTGGACGGAGAATGACTTTGACGAGTTGAGAGAAGAAGGCTTCAGACGATCAAACTACTCCGAGCTACAGGAGGAAATTCTAACCAAAGGCAAAGAAGCTGAAAACTTTGAAAAAAATTTAGACGAACGTATAACTAGAATAACCAATACAGAGAAGTGCTTAAAGGAGCTGATGGAGCTGAAAGCCAAGGCTCGAGAAGTACCTGAAGAATGCAGAAGCCTCAGGAGCTGATGCGATCAACTGGAAGAAGGGGTATCAGTGATGGAAGATGAAATGAATGAAATGAAGCAAGAAGGGCAGTTTAGAGAAAAAAGAATAAAAAGGAATGAACAAAGCCTCCATGAAATATGAGACTATGTGAAAAGACCAAATCTATGTCTGATTGGTGTACCTGAAAGTGATGGGGAGAATGGAACCAAGTTGGAAAACACTCTGCAGGATATTATCCAGGAGAAGTTCCCCAATCTAGCAAGGCAGGCCAACATTCAAATTCAGGAAATATAGAGAACACCACAAAGATACTCTTCGAGAAGAGCAACTCCAAGACACATAATTGTCAGATTCACCAAAGTTGAAATGAAGGAAAAAATGTTAAGAGCAGCCGGAGAGAAAGGTTGGGTTACCCACAAAGGGAAGCCCATCAGACTAACAGCTGATCTCTCGGCAGAAACTCTACAAGCCAGAAGAAGAGACTGGGGGTCAATATTCAACATTCTTAAAGAAAAGAATTTTCAACCCAGAATTTCATATCCAGCCAAACTAAGTTTCATAAGTCAAGGAGAAATAAAATACTTTACAGACAAGCAAATGCTGAGAGATTTTGTCACCACCAGGCCTGCCCTAAAAGAGCTCCTGAAGGAAGCACTAAACATGGAAAGGAACAACCAGTACCAGCCACTGCAAAATCATGCCAAATTGTAAAGACCATCGAGGCTAGGAAGAAACTGCATCAACTAACGAGCAAAATAACCAGCTAACATCATAATGACAGGATCAAATTCACACATAACAATAATAACTTTAAATGTAAATGGACTAAATGCTCCAATTAAAAGACACAGACTGGCAAATTGCATAAAGAGTCAAGACCCATCAGTGTGCTGTATTCAGGAAACCCATCTCACGTGCAGAGACACACATAGGCTCAAAATAAAAGGATGGAGGAAGATCTACCAAGCAAATGGAAAACAAAAAAAGGCAGGGGTTGCAATCCTAGTCTCTGATAAAACAGACTTTAAACCAACAAAAATCAAAAGAGACAAGGACATTACATAAGGGTAAAGGGATCAATTAACAAGAAGAGCTAACTATCCTAAATATATATGCACCCAATACAGGAGCACCCAGATTCCTAAAGCGAGTCCTGAGTGACCAAAAAGAGACTGAGACTCCCACACAATTATAATGGGAGACTTTAACACCCCACTGTCAACATTAGACAGATCAACGAGACAGAAAGTTAACAAGGATACCCAGGAATTGAACTCAGCTCTGCACCAAGCGGACCTAATAGACATCTACAGAACTCTCCACCCCAAATCAACAGAACATACTTTTTTTTCAGCACCACACCACACCTATTCCAAAATTGACCACATAGTTGGAAGTAAAGCTCTCCTCAGCAAATGTAAAAGAACAGAAATTATAACAAACTGTCTCTCAGACCACAGTGCAATCAAACTAGAACTCAGGATTAAGAAACTCACCCAAAACCACTCAACTACATGGAAACTGAACAACCTGCGCCTGAATGACTACTAGGTACATAATGAAATGAAGGCAGAAATAAAGATGTTCTTTGAAACCAACGAGAACAAAGACACAACATACCAGAATCTCTGGGACACATTCAAAGCAGTGTGTAGAGGGAAATGCATAGCACTAAATGCCCACAAGAGAAAGCAGGAAAGATCCAAAATTGATACCCTAACATCACAATTAAAAGAACTAGAAAACAAGAGCAAACACATTCAAAAGCTAGCAGAAGGCAAGAAATAACTAAAATCAGAGAAGAACTGAAGGAAATAGAGACACGAAAAACCCTTCAAAAAATTAATGAATCCAGGAGCTGGTTTTTTGAAAGGATCAACAAAATTGATAGACCGCTAGCAAGAAAAATAAAGAAGAAAAGAGAGAAGAATCAAATAGAAACAATAAAAAATGATAAAGGGGATATCACCACCGATCCTACAGAAATACAAACTACCATCAGAGAATACTATAAACACCTCTACGCAAATAAACTAGAAAATCTAGAAGAAATGGATACATTCCTCGATACATACACTCACCCAAGACTAAACCAGGCAGAAGTTGAACCTCTGAATAGACCAATTACAGGCTCTGAAATTGTGGCAATAATCAATAGCTTACCAACCAAAAAGAATCCAGGACCAGATAGATTCACAGCCGAATTCTACCAGAGGTACAAGGAGGAACTGGTACCATTCCTTCTGAAACTATTCCAATCAATAGAAAAAGAGGGAATCCTCCCTAACTCATTTTATGAGGCCAGCATCATCCTGATACCAAAGCTGGGCAGAGACACAACCAAAAAAGAGAATTTTAGACCAGTATCCTTGATGAACATTGATGCAAAAATCCTCAATAAAATACTGGCAAACCGAATCCAGCAGCACATCAAAAAGCTTATTCACCATGATCAAGTGGGCTTCATCCCTGGGATGCAAGGCTGGTTCAATATATGCAAATCAATAAATGTAATCCAGCATATAAACAGAACCAAAGACAAAAACCACATGATTATCTCAATAGATGCAGAAAAGGCCTTTGACAAAATTCACCAACTCTTCGTGCTAAAAACTCTCAATAAATTAGGTATTGATGGGACGTATCTCAATAAGAGCTATCTATGACAAACCCACAGCCAATATCATACTGAATGGGCAAAAACTGGAAGCATTCCCTTTGAAAACTGGCACAAGACAGGGATGTCCTCTCTCACCACTCCTATTCAACATAGTGTTGGAAGTTCTGGCCAGGGCAATTAGGCAGGAGAAGGAAATAAAGGGTATTCAATTAGGAAAAGAGGAAGTCAAATTATCCTTGTTTGCAGATGACATGATTGTATATCTAGAAAACCCCATCGTCTCAGCCCAAAATCTCCTTAAGCTGATAAGCAACTTCAGCAAAGTCTCAGGATACAAAATCAATGTACAAAAATCACAAGCATTCTTATACACCAATAACAGACAAACAGAGAGCCAAATCATGAGCGAACTCCCATTCACAATTGCTTCAAACAGAATAAAATACCTAGGAATCCAAATTACAAGGGACGTGAAGGACCTCTTCAAGGAGAACTACAAACCACTGCTCAATGAAATAAAAGAGGATACAAACAAATGGAAGAACATTCCATGCTCATGGGTAGGAAGAATCAATATCATGAAAATGGCCATACTGCCCAAGGTAATTTATAGATTCAATGCCATCCCCATCAAGCTACCAATGACTTTCTTCACAGAATTGGAAAAAACTACTTTAAAGTTCATATGGAACCAAAAAAGAGCCTGCATCGCCAAGTCAATCCTAAGCCAAAAGAACAAAGCTGGAGGCATCACGCTACCTGACTTCAAACTATACTACAAGGCTACAGTAACCAAATAAGCATGGCACTGGTACCAAAACAGAGATATAGATCAATGGAACAGAACAAAGCCCTCAGAAATAACACCGCATATGTATAACTATCTGATCTTTGAGAAACCTGAGAAAAACAAGCAATGGGGAAAGGATTGCCTATTTAATAAATGGTGCTGGGAAAACTGGCTACCCATATGTAGAAAGCTGAAACTGGATCCCTTCCTTACACCTTATACAAAAATCAATTCAAGATGGATTAAAGACTTAAACGTTAGACCTAAAACCATAAAAACCCTAGAAGAAAACCTAGGCATTACCATTCAGGACATAGGCATGGGCAAGGACTTCATCTCTAAGACACCAAAAGCAATGGCAACAAAAGCCAAAATTGACAAACGGGATCTAATTAAATTAAAGAGCTTCTGCACAGCAAAGGAAACTACCATCAGAGTGAACAGGCAACCTACAACATGGGAGAAAATTTTCACAACCTACTCATTTGACAAAGGGCTAATATCCAGAATCTACAATGAACTCAAACAAATTTACAAGAAAAAAACAACCCCATCAAAAAGTGGGCAAAGGACATGAACAGACACTTCTCAAAAGAAGACATTTATGCAGCCAAAAAACACATGAAAAAATGCTCACCATCACTGGCCATCAGAGAAATGCAAATCAAAACCACAATGAGATACCATCTCACACCAGTTAGAATGGCAATCATTAAAAAGACAGGAAAGAACAGGTGCTGGAGAGGATGTGGAGAAATAGGACCACTTTTACACTGTTGGTGGGACTGTAAACTAGTTCAACCATTGTGGAAGTCAGTGTGGCGATTCTTCAGGGATCTAGAACTAGAAATACCATTTGACCCAGCCATCCCATTACTCGGTGTATACCCAAAGGACTATAAATCATGCTGCTAAGACACATGCACACATATGTTTATTGAGGCACTATTCACAATAGCAAAGACTTGGTTTCAACCCAGATGTCCAACAATGATAGACTGGATTAAGAAAATGTGGCACATATACACCATGGAATACTATGCAGCCATAAAAAATGATGAGTTCATGTCCTTTGTAGGGACATGGATGAAATTGGAAATCATCATTCTCAGTAAACTATTGCAAGAACAAAAAACCAAACACCGCATGTTCTCACTCATAGGTGGGAATTGAACAATGAGAACACATGGACACAGGAAGGGGAACATCACACTTAGGGGACTGTTGTGGGGTGGGGAGAGCGGGGAGGGATAGCTTTAGGAGATAATACCTAATGCTAAATGACGAGTTACTGGGTGCAGCACACCAGCATGGCACATGTATACATATGTAACTAACCTGCACATTGTGCACATGTACCCTAAAACTTAAAGTATAATAATAATACAATAAAATAAAATTCAAATGTCATTTCTTCTGAGAAAAAAAAAGATGCTATTTATCTCAATTGCAACTTTACATAGCACTTACACTGTCAATGGATTGTCTGATTAAATGTAAACTCTTTGAAGACAGGTGTCTCATTTTTCTTGTTTTTATAGCCACAAGTTTTAGTGTCTGAGAAATTTTTAAGGTAACAGATAAATGAATGAAACAATTTTTTTAAATAAACAGAAAAATTTAACCTCAAGAAGAACAAAGTGGTACGAATCCAAGGGAAGTGAAAAGAAATTGACGGCAGGATTACAATTTCTGATTGATTGAAAAATTCACCTGTTCATTAATGTAATTTCCTGGTAAAATATTAAGAATCGTCACTGAATTTTGATGAAGATGTTATTGCAGATTAAAAGCATTGCAATAGACGGCAGTCAAGTTTCTGCAGGTTTTACCTTTTTATTTTGGACCTGGTCAGTGTATCTTCAATGGCTACTGTACATTATCAATGCACACAGTGTATTATCAAGCCAAATTCCTTGTGGAATTTGTGGCTGCTATTTTGTGACTTGGTTTCTCTCACTTGAAGGACAGGATTTTCCTCTGGGTCCATGGTGAAATCTTAGCCCATCTGCCTGTAGGGTGTGGTTTTCAATGCCTCAATGAAGGGTATAGTTGTATTGTTTAACAGAAAGATGAACAGACAGAGGTGAAGGTACATTCTTTGTCCTCAAAAACAAACAACCTTCACCCCCTCAGCAAAAAACAGATTGTTATGTAAAAGTCTAAAAGACAGAGGTAAGAAAAGGCCTAGACAGACTTGAAAGATGTTAAGAATGGCCCTTCAGATAACCAAGACTATCAGCTGAAAACACTTTTAAGCTATCTGGCTTCATTTATACAATTGAAGATATATTACTTTCAGCATAGTAAAGAAAAATTTGCTGACACTAAAGTTGTGGGGAGTTATTTGATTTTAGGAACACAGGTTCACAGGATTACCAGGATGCCGAATACACTTTCATTCAAGGGTGGCTCCATATACAAAGTATGGGAGCTGCTGCTGTGTATTGCCAAGACACAATTACAACCTGAGATGGTCAGATGAGCAGGTTGGCCATTTTGGTAATAGGACTGATTAATTAGTTGACTGATTTAGGGGGTGGTAATTGTTTAGGCATCCTGAGGATAATGCAAAGGTTTTTCTCTTTAAGAACAAAACTTCAGCATCCCATCCTACATTGTATCACAGAATATACCACCAGACATAACAAAAAGCCAAAATTCTAACTAATTAAGGAACACATATCTCTATGAAGTAACACTTTCGAGAAGAAGAGGCTGTAATTCAACTCCATAAGCTTAAGATACTGAAAACTTTAAAAGTTTGCCCATAGAAAAATAAAATTCTGCAAGAACAACACAATGGTTATTCAGGACATTTAATTTCTTTCCACATATATTGAATTTGTTCAAAAACTAATTTTCCACCCAGACCAGAAGCCACAGCAAACAAACAAACCTAATAAAAGAATATTGGTTTAGAATACTAAACAATGAGATTAATGAAGTAATGTATTGTATTGGAGAAAACAACATTAAAATACTTTAAATAACAGAATTGGTTATTTTAAATATAAAACTAAAGAAAAATATTTTTTAAAAGTTTTCTTCTTTAGTGTTTACATATTGTCAGAAGAAAATGCCATTTTAAAGACTGAACTTGAGCTGGTATCTTTAAAAAGGGATTATCTATTAGTTACTTTATTGACTAGGATTAACAGTGACCTTCTTCAGTTAAATACAGTTACTTGTTTTTTTGAACTGAGGTCTCAGATATTGTCCTGTAATTGATGTTGATCAGTATGAGTTTATGAGCTTAAAAATAAAAACATATTTCTCAGTGAAAATCGACCTAAGACAATATTTTTGTTCAATTCCAATTCCCATATGAGACTAAATCTTTTTAACAAAACACTAGTCTTATGAAAAAAAGCCTATTATTATGTTCAAAAAATAATAGTCTCAATTTATTAATCTAGAAAATGGGGCTAATAATATACACCTTTTTAAAATGTTATACAAATGCTACAGAAAACTAATACAAAGAATTTGGCAACAAAATTATATAATTTTCTATGTCACTAATTTAAATGACCGAGGTCTTTTTAATCAAACTATCCAGCTAGCTGGAAAAATAAGAGCTCCCCTCTGTGAAAAGAAACTGACTGGCTGGGCCCCGTGGCTTAGGCCTGTAATCCCAGCACTTTGGGAGCCTGAGGCAGGTGGATTATCTGAGGTCAGGAGTTCGAGACCAGCCTGGTTAAAATGGCAAAACTCTGTTGCTACCAAAAATACAAAAATTAGCCAGGTGTGGTGGTGGGCACCTGTAATCCCAGCTACTCAGGAGGCTGAGGCAGAAGAATGGCTTGAACCCAGGAGGTAGAGGTTACAGTGAGCCAAGATGGTGCCATTGCACTCCAGCCTGGGGGACGGGGGGAGACTCCATCTCAAAAAAAAAAAAAAAAGAAAGAAAAGAAACTGACTAATGCTTGTAGCATACTGCACACTCATGGCAAGTTATGCAAGGGCTACACTTTACTGCAATGCTTCTCAAATTGTAGTCCAGGAAGCTGTGGATACTCTTATTAATATATTATTAAAATATATGCTTTTAGAGTATCTACAAGGTCAAACTATTGTTTTAGTAATGATAAAACATTAATTGACTTTGTTCACTCTGTTGAAATTTACACTGATTTTGCAAAAGCAAATGTGGTAAAATTGTTGGTGTCATAGAAAGTATCATAGCAGAGGAGACTTTCAGTTCCAAAATGGCAGCTGGCTTCCCTGCTACCCACAGAAAACCAAAAAAATGTAAGGCACTGAGATTGTCACCGGCAATATTCCAGAACTCAAAGATGAGGATAAGTCATTTCCCAGCGCCACAGAAAGCTTAAAAACTCTGAGCAGACAGTAAGATAATTTAATTTCCTATATGCAACAACTATCCCCCCAATCTGTCTAGCACCAAGAGTGCAAAAAATTTCCCCCAACTTACCATTTCTACACTGGAAAAAGTGAGATCGAGGTGGACGATCAGCTTCTCCACCAACTTGAGTCCTTCATCAGGAGACCTTTTCATGCCTCAATCCATGAGAAGTATTGTGAGTACCTGAAGGGAGACAAATCTTTTTGTTTGTTTGTTTTTTTGAGACAGAGTCTTGCTCTGTCTCCCAGGCTGGAGTAAAGTGGCCCAGTCTCGGCTCACTGCAAGCTCCGCCTCCCAGGTACACGTCATTCTCCTGCCTCAGCCTCCCCAGTAGCTGGGACTACAGGCGCCCGCCACCACGCCCAGCTAATTTTTTGTATTTTTAGTAGAGACGGGGTTTCACCTTGTTAGCCAGGATGGTCTCGATCTCCTGACCTCGTGATCTGCCCGCCTCGGCCCCCCAAAATGCTGGGATTACAGGCGTGAGCCACCGCGCCCGGCCAGGGAGACAAATCTTTGAGGACAGCCAGAGAGAAAGGGGAAAGGTGGTAACATCATCCCCATCTCTGGAAACCCTGCTCTGTAACTTGGCCAAAGGAGATCACAAATCAGAATAGGATTTCTATTCATATTCAGCAGCATCATGCTGTAGGAGGTACATTCTGTAAGTGTCCTGGGCTCAAACCCCTAGCTGGCCTTTTTATGCTCCCAGGATATCCCATTTGTGACCTCCCCTATTCTTGCCAGGAAGCACTTATGATTTGCTAGAGCTGAGGCAATCCTGAGCTTTAGGTAACATCTGGTGCCAAAAAGTAGGCAGTGACCTAGGAAAAAATTAAGAAATTTCACAGGTAAATTATAAAGAATCTCTAAGCAAATATAACCAACAAAAACCAAAACAAGCCAGATAGAGAATACTGGAATAAATAAATAAATCTTCAAAGCAAAGACGTTGATGTACAATACATTTACAAGAAACAACAGCTATCAGGGAACTATGACCACCAGAAACAGACAAAGCAAGGTACCAGTAACTGACCTCAATGAGATGGCAATATGTGAGATCTCTGACCAATAATTCCAAATAAAAGTTTTAGGGAAAATCAGTGATCTCCAAGGATAACACAGAAAAACAATTCAGAAATTTATCAGAGAAATTTAACAAAATGATTAAAGAAAACAAAAACCCAGAAATTTAAAACTGAGAAATACATTTGCTACACTGAAAAATTCACTGGAGGTTTAAAACAGCAGATGGGCCAAGCAGAGAAAAATAAAAAATCAGTGAGCTCAGAGATAAGCTATTTGAAATTATACAATCAGAAGAGAAAAAAGGAAAAAAAGAATAAAAAGAAATGGAGATACCTAATAAACATACCTCAAAAGACCAAATCTAAGGATTATTGATGTTAAAGGGGGAATTGAGCAAGAGCAAGGAGTAGAGAGCTTATTAAAAGAAATAATAACAGAATACTTTCCAAAACTCGAGAATAACATGAATGTCTAGGTACAAGAAGGTAAGAGAACGCCAAACAGGTTTGCTAAATATAGAACCTTAAGGCATTTGGTAATCCAACTCTCAAAGGTCAAAGGCAAAGAGAGGATCCTAAAACAGCAAGATTAAAAAAAAAATGCAAATAACATATAAAGGAACTCCAACTCATCTGGCAACAGACTTCTCAATGGAAACCATACAGACCAGAAAGGAGTGGGACCAAATTTTCTAAATGCTGAAAAAAAAAGAGAAACTGATATTTAAGAATACTTTATTCAACCAAGTTAGTCTTTTATTATGAATGAGAGGTAAAGTCTTCCTGAAACAAACAAACCTAAGAGAATTTATAACCACCAGGTCTGGTCTTACCAAAAATGCTAAAGTGAATTATTCAATCAGAAAAGAAATCACTAATGTGCAGGAAAAAAAAATGAAGATATAAAACCCACTGGTAAAATTAAGTACAAAGACAACTCCAGAATATTCACGTACTGTAACTGTGGTGTACAATCCACTTAAACTCTACCATGAAGCCCAAACAAGTCTATCAATAACGACAATAGCTATAGCACTCTGTTAACAGACAGGCAACACAAAACATGTAAATTGAGATAAACAAACATCAAAATGGGGAGACTAAAGATAAAGTATAGACATTGTTTGTTTTTGTTTACTCTTTCTGTGATCTAAGTTTTTATCTATTTAAAGTTATGTTTTATGTCTATGTTTTTTGTAAACCTTGTAGTAACCACAATTCAAAACCTGAAATAGATACACTAAAAATAAAAACCAACAAATTAAAGCATAGTACCAGAAAAAAATCACTTAACCACCAAGGATGACAAAAGAAAAAAAAAAAGAAGAAGAATAGAGGGGATACAAAACAATGAGAAAGCCAGCAACAAAATGACAGTAATAACTCCTTACTTATCAATAATAATACTGCATGTAAATAAGCTAAATTCTCTAATTAAAAGACACAGAGTGGTTGAATGGATGCGGGGGGGCGGGGGTGGGAGGCTGGGGGAGGGAAAGCATTAGGAGAAATACCTAATGTAAATGATGAGTTGATGGGTGCAGCAAAACAACATGGCACATGTATACCTATGTCAAACCTGCATGTTGTTCACATGTACCCTAGAACTTAAAGTATAATAAAAAAAAATACCCAACTATATGCTCCCTATGAAAATCCCATCTTACCTATAAAGATAGACATAGACTGAAAGTGAAGAGATGAAAAAAATGTATTTCATACAAATGAAAACAGAAAAAAACAAGAGTAGCTACACATATACCAGATAAAATAGACTACTTGTCAGAGACTATAAAAAGAGACAAAGATCATTATATAATGCTAAAATGATTACATAGCAAAAGATGTAAGAATTATAAAAATCTATGCACTACACACTAGAGCACCCATGTATATAAAACAAAATAATAAATCTAAAGGGAGAGATAGACTGAAACAATAATAGCAGGAGCGTTCATCACCTCACACTCAGGAATGGACAGATCGGGTAGACAAAAAAATCAAGAAAGAAACATTGAATTAAATTATACACTAGACCAAATAGGCCTAACTGACATCTACAGAATATTTAATCCAACCGATACACAAAACACATTCTTTTCATCAGCACATGAAACATTCTCCTGAATAGATCATATCTTAGGTCACGAGGCAAGCCTCAACAAATTCAAAGAGTAGAAATCATTTAAAATATTTTTCAGATCATGATGGAATAAAGCTAGAAACCAATAGCAAGAGAACCTTAGAAACGACACAAACACGTAGAAATTAACATACTTTTGAATGACAAATTGGTCAATGAATTAATTAAAAAGAAAATTTAAAAATTTCTTGAAACAAATGGAAATGAAAATAAAAGATACAAAAATCTATCAGATACAGAAAAGCAGTACTTGCAAGGAAGTTTAGAGCAATAAACACCTACATCAAAAAAGCTGAAAGATTTAAACACACAACCTAGTGATATACCTCAATGAACTAGAAAGGCAAGAATAAATCAAACTCAAAGTTAGTGGAAGGAAAAAATAACAATAATCAGAGCAAAAATAAAAAATTTAGGACTAAAAAAGCAATATAAAAACTATCATCAGAGTGGACAGGCAACCTACAGAATGAGAGAAAATTTTGCAATATATCCATCTGACAAAGGGCTAATATCCAGAATCTACAAGGAACATTAACAAATGTACAAGAAAAAAAACCCATCAATAAGTGGGCTAAATATATGAACAGACACTTCTCAAAAGAAGACATTTATGTAGTCAACAAATGTATGAAAAAAAGCTCATCATCAATGGTCATTAGATAAATGCAAATCCAAACTACAATGAGGTACCATCTCATGTCAGTCAGGATGGCGATTATTAAAAAGTCAATAAACAATAGATGCTGGTGAGGCTGTGGAGAAATGGGAACACTTTTACATTGTTGGTAGGAATGTAAATGAGTTCAACCATTCTGTAAGTCTGTGTGGCCATTCCTCAAGGAACTAGAACAAGATATACCAGTTGACCCAGCAATCCCATTACTGGGTATATACCCAAAGGAATATAAATTGTTCTACTATAAAGATGCATGTACACATATGTTTATTGCAGCACTATTTACAGTAGCAAAGACAGGGAACCAACCTAAATGCCCATTAATGATTGACTGGATAAAGAAAATGTGGTACCTATACACCATAAAACACTATGCTGCCAGAAAAAGGAATGAGATCATGTCATTTTCAGGGACATGGATGGAGCTGGAAGCCATCATCCTCAGCAAACTAACAGAGGAACAGAAAACCAAACACCACATGTTCTCACACATAAGTGGGAGTTGAACAATGAGAACACATGGACACATAGAAGGTAATACACTCAGGGGCCAGTCGGGTTTCGGGGGCGAGGGGAGGGAGAGCAACCAACAAATTAAAGCATAGTACCAGAAAAAACTCACTTAACCACCAAGGATGACAAAAGAAAAAAAAAAAGAAGAAGAAGAATAGAGGGGACACAAAACAACAAGAAAGCCAGCAACAAAATGATAGTAATAACTCCTTACTTATCAATAATAATACTGAATGTAAATAGGCTAAATTCTCTAATTAAAAGACACAGAGTGGTTGAATGGATGTGGGGGTTGGGAGGCTGGGGGAGGGATAGCATTAAGAGAAATACCTAATGTAAATGATGAGTTGATGGTTGCAGCAAGCCAACGTGGCACATGTATACCTATGTATCAAACCTGCATGCTGTGCACACGTACCCTAGAACTTAAAGTATAATAATAAAAAAAGACCCAACTATAGGACAAATAGCTAATGTATCCGGGTTTAAAACCTAGATGATGGGTTGATAAGCGCAGCAAAACACCATGGCACATGTATACCTATATAACAAATCTGCACGTTGTGTACTTGTATACCAGAACTTAAAGTAAAATAAGAAAAATAAAAAATAAAAAAGATAATAAGTTTGTTTTTTGAAAAGATGAACAAAATCAAAAACTCTTTAGTTAGACTATGTAAGAAAAATAGAAAGAAGACAAAAATAAAATCAGAATCAGAAAAAAAACAAGACCACAGAAATGCCAAAAAAAAAATCATTAGAGAATTTTATGAACAACTATATGCCAATGAATTGGACAAGCAAGAAGAAATGGATAAATTCTTGGATTCTTGGACACATACAAGCTATGAGGGGGGAAAAAAACTGAAAACAAACAAAAAAACACCCAATAATGGATAATGAAGGCCAGGTGTGGTGGCTCATGCCTGTAATCCCAACACTTTGGGAGGCCAAGGCAGGCAGATCACTTGAGGTCAGGAGTTTTCAAGAACAGCCTGGCTAACATGGTGAAACTCTATCTCTACTAAAAATACAAAAATTAGCCAGCATGGTGGCATGTGCCTATAATCCCAGCTAATCAGGAAGCTGAGGTGGGAGAATTGCTTAAACCTGGGAGGTGGAGGTTGCAGTGAGCCGAGATCATGCCACTGCACTCCAGCCTGGGCAATAGAGCAAGAATCCATCTCAAAAAAAAAAAATGAGTAATGAAAAATAAGCCATAATAAGAAGTCTTTCATCAAGCAATAGCTCAGGGTCTAATGGCTTCACCACTGAATTATAGCAAATATTTAAAGAACTAATACCAGTTCTACTCAAACTCCTCAAAAATAATTTTAAAAATGAGTACTTCCAAACTCATTCAAGGCTAGCATTAGCCTGATGCCCAAACAAGACAAGGACACAACAAATAAAGAAAAGTATAAGCCAGTATCATGGACATGCTCTCAGATTCCACATTGAAACTAACCTTTAGTAACCTACTCCTTTGTGTGTTTCTTTATAGAATCATAAATAAATATCCAACGTTATATGAACAGGAATTTAAAATACTACTCCCATTTCCAACTATATATATGTATGTGACACTTTTAAAAATATATCTCAACTAAGTAGCACATCACAACAGATTGCATGCATCAGCAAATATGAAAATCCAGTCTTCTGTTATAACAAATACATTGTTAAAGAGATTTGCCAAAAAAAGTCTCTTTTCTCACTAGTTCTTTAGAAAAATATAGCTTTTACATAATATGTTACTTACGTTGACCATTAATAGTTTGTTATTATTTAAATAAATAAGTACCTTAAGTTTTTTAGTTTTAATTTCTAATAAGGATAAGTGGTAGATACAAACAAATGCAAAAAGATGTTTGGGATCTTCAGTAAGACTATGGACTATAACCGGTCTTGAGACCACAATGTGTGAAAACTGTTTTAAGCTTGTTTATATATGTTTGTTCCCTCCAAAAAGTATCTTTACTATTTTCTAAACCAGTTAATGTCAATTTTTCTCATTATTATAATGAAGTAATTAATAAAACATAATTCACATTGTAGAATTAATGGAGAGAATGTTCATTTCCGAGTTTATATGAAAATTAAGTTAAAATTAAAGAGCATCTTTAAAAATTTATAAATTAGATATGAGTGAAATAAATGTAAATTACTAGAGGGAAATATTGCAAACATCTCAAAAAATCTGTCCTCATTTTTTAATATCTTTAAGTTCTTACTACCACTTGAAAAAAATTCAAACTAATTATCTTATGACACATTAAAATATATATCATGTGAGAAAAGTGATGCAAAACTCTAATTAGCAGAACCACGTGCAGTGGAAATCAAAACGACTTGCCTTCAATAAAAAAAGACTGGTTAATGACAGATTCTTTATAAATTTCAACTAAAAAGATATTTGAAGTATATATGTGAATTGTTTTTAACTATACTTAACTATTTCTTTTTGAAATTGATTGGCAAAACGCTAATCATGCTAGTACTAGTATTGAGATTTAAGTGTTAATACAGTTCACAGAATTCACAATCCTCCAGCATGGGTCTTGTAATTACTATACAACTATTTTTTTTACACAGAAGTGCTATGTTTCACTATTGAAATCAACTTAAGGGATTATCTACATAAAATAAAATGCACTCATTTTAAGTATATAGTTTAATACAGTTTTGATAATTATTACCAGAAGTAATCATCCCACGAATCAAGAAATAGAACGTAGCCATTGCCTCAGAATAAGCCTGCATGTGTAAATTCCCTTAGTCTCTACCAGATAGAAAACCAGTGTTTTAATTTCTATTGACGTAGATTCGTTTTGCCTTATACCACATTTCACACAAATACAATTATATTCTATTTGGGTCTCACTTCTCTTAAGCAAATTCTTGTCTGTATTATTAGTTTATTCTTTTCATTGACAAGTCGTATTTCTTTGTACAAATGTACAATGATTTGTTTATCCATTCTGTTTCTGATAATGATTAGGTATTTCCAGTTCAGATCTATTAAGAATAATGTCACTTCAAACATTTGTAAGCAAGTCCTTTTGTAGATATATTTTTTTCTTTTCTCTTGGGCATATACACAGGAGTAAAATTGCTGAATCCCATAATAAATATACATTACACTTAAAGGAAACTAGTAAACTTTGAATCAACATGATTCTACAATTTTATATTCCCACTAGCATTGGATAAAAATTCTAGCTGCTCAACATTGTTGCCTAAAGTTAATATTGACAACTTTTTATCTTTAATTTTATGTTGGTCATCTTATTTCTTGGAGATTTAATTATCATTTACCTGATGATTAATGTAGAGCATCTTTTTATGACCTCTTAAAATATTAATATATTTTCAAATGCTATGACTTTTTATTGTTATTATTATTTAGTTATTTTTATATATTATAGATACATCTGTCATATGTTTATCGCATGGCATATGAATGTGATTTGAATATTATAACAGCATTTTATTAATAACATTTTATTTTAATAACATTTTATTCATCACATCTTGTAAAGACCAGGGCTTTATTTTAATGAAGTACAAATTATTATTTCAATTATTTTTATGCTTGTTGTTTTATCTAAGCCAGTTTTGCCTATATCAAAGTTATAAATGGAGAAATAGTTTTGCTTTACCTTTTATGTTTAGATGTATGGTCCATTTTGTATTATTTCCCAAGTGTATAGTGACATAAAAGGGAACTTTTTTAAGTGTTGTCTTGGCACCATTTTTCAAAATATTATTTTTAGTTGAAATACTTTGGCATCATGATTCACTGTAATTTACCATGAGACATTTCAAGGCTATAATATTAATGATAGCCATAGGAGCCCCTCAGTAGTCTCCTAGGGCCTACACTTCAAATCGTTTAGCAGTATGATGCAATTTTGGCTGGAGATTTCCAACCCTGACCTGGGAATTTCTAGGAGAAAAGGCCACCTCAGTTTCTCATTCACTCTGTTAAATTACTTGCTAGAATTATTCGAACAACTTTTGTCTTACTAACTACATTTGTATTAGATTTGCTGCTAGGAATGATTTCAGGAAATAAAAATGATTAAAGTCTGACATTAGTTTTATGATCAGTAGGTATATGTGATATTAGTAGTCAATGATACCATAGATATGCAATAACTTATAACATACAGTTGTATAGAATGGTATAACTATTAAGCACCAAGGTTTGGGAGACCAAGATGTTGAAATGTGGCTAAATGATAGTAGCCTGAATGGTTGTCTTTAATTTCACTGAGATGGTAAAGATATAAAATAACAACAAATTCAAAGCTTAAAATCTTGATTCAATGTCCATTAGAGAAACAACAAGCATAAAATACTGCTCTTAAAAAATCTTTTATATATTATGAAACAATGCTAATTTATCTGTAAACCAGAAACAAAGACTTCTTTTGATGTCAGAATTAAAATATAAGTTGAAATCACTACTTTATTAAGCATGACCTGTGGAATTTAGGGTATTAAATGGTAAGAGTGGAATCCAGGACATTGTAGTGAGGATATTTGAGTGAATGTAGTTAAATGAATAATTATAAATCACAAATTCTCTGAGACTCGCTTGCTAGCTTCTCAGCCTTTTCATATATCTTTGAGCTATATGTTTACTTTTTTTTTTTTTTTTTTTGAGATGGAATCTCTCACTCTGTCATCCAGGCTGGAGTGCAGTGGTGCGACGTTGGCTCACTGCAACTTCTGCCTCCCAGGTTCAAGCTATTCCCCTGCCTCAGCCTCCCAAGTAGCTGGGATTACAAGTGCCTGCCACCACACCCAGCTAACTTTTGTATTTTTAGTAGAGACAAGGTTTCACCTTGTTGGCCAGGCTGTTCTCAAACTCCTGACTTCAGGTGATCTGCCTGCATTGACCTCCAAAGTCCTGGGATACAGGCTTGAGCCACAACACTCAGCTTAAGCTATATGTTTAAGGAGACCATAATGTTTTTATTAGAGCCAGAATGTTTTCAAGAGGCTACTGTTCTGTGGAAGATCCACTTACAACTCGAGACTCAGCTAGAGTCAGACATCAGCTTTCCTCATTGCCCTCAAGATGAAAATTTTGTTTATATATAGAGAGAAATGCACACACACATACAATTATTCTATGAGGAAGCACTGATCTTCTAGCTAAACTCTACTAAACAAAATGAAGTTTGAGAATATTTACTTAAGTATGTATGAAGGGAACTATTATGTGAATTAAAAATAAATTAGCATAAAAAGACAGATATAGTGACTTATCAAACCTTATGTTTAGTTTTGTGTGGACAGGGTGAACACATCCAAGTACAAGACACAGCTACACATGGTTAGATGAAAGCATAATATTGTTCTTGTTGTGTTCAAAAGTTAACTGCAGCTATAAGGACCACTATAGATTATTATGGGAGGAGATAACTCTGCTCTTTTGTTCTCCATAAACCCTGGTTCCTTTTCTGCACTCATAAGAATCACAGTTGCTGGAAACATAGAAATTACATTTCTTAAACTCTTCTGTCAGCAGTAGATTCAAGTTTAGGTTACAGTAAAAAGAGGTACTCCCAGAATGAAAGAAAAGTAGAAGAAAGATAAAAATGATTATTGCACAGGTGCATGCATGTCATGGGATGACTTAAAATTACATTTTAATAGAGACTTTGTGCTGTTTCTTATAGGTACCCCATGTGCTCACTTTGAGTGTTACAGAAAGTTAGTGGTGGCAAGTCTTCAACAATTGAGGTTTGTGATGGTTAAAAAAGGAAGATTCGGCCAGGCACAGTGGCTCAAGCCTGTAATCCCAGCACTTTAGGAGGCCGAGGTGAGCGGATCACAAGGTCAGGAGTTTGAGACCAGCCTGGCCAACATGGTGAAACCCTGTCTCTACTAAAAAAATACAAAATTAGCTGGGCGTGGTGGTGAGTGCCTGTAATCCCAGCTACTGGGGAGGCTGAGGCAGGAGAATGGCTTGAACCCACGAGTCAGAGGTTGCAGTGAGCTGAGATCGTACTACTGCACTCCAGCCTGGGTGACAGAGCAAGACTTCATCTCAAAAAAAAGAAAGAAAAGAAAAGAAAAGAAAAGAAAAGAAAAGAAAAGAAAAGAAAAGAAAAGAAAGAGAAAGAGAAAGAGAGAAAGGAAAATTCAGGAATTGCAGAAATATCTAATAATTGAACAAAAAAGTTTATTGTCTCAAATCAAAGACAAAAAATGATTTAAATAAAACTTCAAGAATAATATAAAAACAAAGACAAGAAGAAAAGAGGTGACTCATGTTTTGACAGGCATTGGTAGACAGATTTTGTTGCTACTATCCCAGCTTCTATAGAGAGCAAAGACCACCAGACATTAGAAGCATGAGAAGAACACAACCACAATAAATTAGATGTAAACATAGAAAACCTGAAATTCTGGTAGAAGCCTTCTGAGTTTATTCCTAAATTCATATTGGAAACTCTTAGATATATGAGTTGGTAAAAATGATATGGTAAAATGATTGAAAGATCCAGAAAAATTAAGTGATATAAACAAGTGTTAAAGCTGTCAAAATCAAAATGGAGTCACATGTGTTAGAGAAACACAAAAGCAAAACTCTGACAAATAAAGCTAGGGAAAGCTATAAAGAGAGGATTACTCATGCATTAATGTCTGACAATGAAAAGTATCACAAAAGATTCTCCAAAACCACACTCTTGAAAAAGGCTACCACCACCTTACACAAAAACTATTTCTGCAAGGACATTTTTGTAGTAGTTGCCTGCACAGTGTCAGAGTAGTGTTACCCTTGTTATTGATTCTTGTAATCAAGAATAATTATTTCAGAACAATTATGTAATCCTCCTCATTTTCTCTATAAAATCCTTTGTCTTTTATTACCTCCATGAATACTTAGTAAACTAATAGTTTACTAAGGCACACATATTTCAATGCAATGCCTTGTTCCCAAAGAAATACCATTTTCTTCTTGAGAGCCTTGCTGTGTTTCTATTAAGGTTAACAGAAGAAAGAGAAAACACTCAGAACTTTGATCATTGAAAGTGGAAAAGCTCCTAAAATAAATGAACCTTACCTTGACTTCCATGTGATGAGTGATGAAAAATAGAGAAATGATCCTATACTTTGCTTTCTATAGGTATATGGATATCTTTTTAATTGGTATCAATGTGCAGCCAGCGTATGTTTGAGAAACAAAGAAAAGTCGTTTCAGATTGTACTTCTCTCAGGAGTAAAACTTGACAGTATCTATGGTAGATAATCTCAGACAATGGGGTATTTAGTAATCTGCATGCCCAAGATAGGAGAAGTAATTATAGATGGAAGAAAAGCATCCATGTCTGTGAAAATTACCTTGGATATTAACAGAGAGCAAACAAACAAAAAAGGATGCATAATGAGAAACTAGAAGTAGATTCTAGCAAATGTGCATTTCCTGATGTAGCTAATTTAATTCAAAAGGAAAAATACACACCCAGAAGAGTTGGATCTAAGTCAAACTTATACCAAGTTAGGAAGTTACACACTTTGCAGATAATGTGTGAAGGACTCCATTGATTTGAAATATCAGGCTGCATTATTGTTGCATTTGTCTTGTGAGACTCAGTTTCACTTAGTGCAAGGAATGTATGCAGAGCACTAGTTTTAAAACTGTTTCAAAATTAAAATATGTACCTTCATTCGCTATGGCTGATTATTGGTCCTTGCAAGGTGCTAGCTAGTGAAAATGCTCAAAAATGACTATCAAAACTTTGTAGAATCTTTTGGAATTATCTTCTGTTTTTGAACATATACATAACTTATAATGCAATAATTTGACTTTTTATTATGTACCTGAGAGAAAAGCATAACTCAAAAGAGACTTGTAGAAGAATTTCAGAGGAAAATAGTATTTCTAAAGGACAAATATATATACATATTTTATATATATAGATAAAGAAAGCATAAATGTCCATGATACAATCATAAAAATGAATGAACCTTAGATATATGCAAAAACATGGGGTAATTTCATATTACATTATATTACTAAGCACAGGAAGTCAAGAATTATATATAATCATGTATATAGCTATTAAAAATGTAAGAATCTGGAAAAAATAAAAGAAAATAAATCAACATCTACAACATCAACAAAAAAAATCCTTTTTTACGAAGGTTTTTAAAAACTGGCAAATTAACCTTCACTGTTAAATTTTAGGGTATTGGGGGATTTTTTGGATAGAAAGCAAGAATAGTAATTGAGGGAAGACCAGGGGTGTCTGAGGCCCTCAAAATGTTTTATGCATTAACCTCTTTTGAGGTTTCACAACTGTGCATGTTTGGATAATTTATGAATACATATAGTTATGTGTTGTGTCCTTTTTATGTGTGAAAAAAAGAAAATTTACTTAAAGTGAAAAATTTGGCATTAATGTATAATGTCATAAAATGTCAAGAAATACATATAAGTAGTGATTAGTCTTTAAGTTGTCACTGTTACTTAGAGAATAATTGCAGAAATTCTCAAAAGCCAAATGGCCTGAATTCTAATAGACTCAAGTTTCTCTTAGTTTTGTGCTTAATATTTCACTCTAAGTTAAGAGCAAGAACATTGCTTAATATTTTTAAAAGTTATTCTACTTAATGCACAAAGCAGCTTTATAATGGATTCCCTCAGCAATTTATGCTAAACCAATCCCTAATTATTCTTAAGAAAGGAATTATTCTAATGTTTATCTGATGCATTTTCAAACAATTCGTTAATTTTATTAGTGTCTTTGCTAAAGATTCAAAAATCTATAAATACGTGGATTTTTCCCTATTGAGTATATATCTTGTATATTTATGTAT
Source organism: Homo sapiens (assembly GCF_000001405.40). Taxonomy (NCBI): domain Eukaryota; kingdom Metazoa; phylum Chordata; class Mammalia; order Primates; family Hominidae; genus Homo; species Homo sapiens. Next base: position 38,214,073 of record NC_000011.10, read on the forward strand.
TGCACTTACCCCTCCATATTCTCATTCATCTAGTACCTGACTGTAGAATGAGCTCCTACATGCCCAGAAGTAAGCCTAATTTGACTGTGTCGATCCAGTATCCAATATTTGTGACACACACATACACAAACCTTATATTTTGAAAGATTCAATGTTGAATGGTATCTAATTGGTTTGGATTCAGGTTGATAATAATATTTCTAATAAACTCAAATTTATTCTTTGATACTAAAGATTTTAAAACTCTGTCTACTACTTAAAAGCCAAAGCAAAAATATCCCATGTTTCAGAGTCACTTAGTAGTGCAGCTCACACCTAGCATAGAATGGAGCTATCATTTTCTTCTTTATTAAAAATGCATTCTAGAAGTGCCATTTGAAGAAAAGCAAGAAAGCTAGCTTATATATAAGCCTGATGTTTAATGTCTATTTATGAAAAACAATAAGTAACATGAATTATTAATTGTCTTTGTAGTTAATATTTTTAGAGTATATTACAAACTGAAAGCTGTAAAAACTTTAATAAAGGACTTTTACATAAATTGTGGGTATACATTACACATGCATAAATACAAAAACACTATACATCATGGGGAACTTTCACATAATACATTATGACATGTACTCCTCATTTCAACATAGCAAAGCATGTATTAGTCCCTCTCCAAAGATAATAAGTTTAAGACTCAGATGGGTAATATTTTTTTAATCAGGGGGAAGCCAGTGGGGAATGCTTACTTTGTGCCTGACCCTTCACCATGGGCTTTTATACAATGTTTTGTCTAAATATACATTCACTCACTTCATATACATTCACAGATCTATGAGTCTTACTACTATTCCAGTTTTGCTAGTAAGAGAACTGATACTATAAGACTGATTTATAATCAGACAGAGCAGGGTTCAAATTTCTATCTTCATTGCTATTACTAGATACTTAAGCTCTTATAAGTTTATTATTTTATAGATGTGATAATATATTTGATCAGTTCATTAGATTCTTGTGATAATTTAAGGAAATAATGAAAAAATTGGGGTAGCAGGGTACATGACACATAGTGTTTAATAAATGCTATTTTGCAAATCATAATAATAATTTGTACTTTCCATTTGAACAAAACACTATTACTAAGGTATCTTTGAGATATGGATTTTTGGAGTACTTTTTAAAATTCAGTTTGTGTAAACAAAACCCAATTATTTTTCTATTTTCCTTAGCTAAATTACACATACTAATGCAGGCTTACTTTTTAAAAATTTCTATACTGAAGACCAAGACACATTTTTAATTTATACTTTAAGCTCCATTAAAAAGAATATAACAATGGCTAATGTAGTTTTAATTCATTTATCTGGTCAAGAATTACTTATATTATAATTTTGAAAAAATTAACTGCACTAGCAAAAATCATAAAATCTTAAAAATATTAAGACAGATAATAAAAAAAACAAAATACTCTCTAAGAGACTCAATTTTTTACTTAAATATGTTCACAATATACACATATATTTGTAGAGAACCAATTTTTTGCTTAAATATCTTCACACTATATACATTAGAGTAAATGTTTACATTTAAAGGAGATTGTTTCTTCTTTCTTAAAATATTTCTGTTAGTATTTGTGAGAATTGTTATAGTGTTTTTAGTGGCCTGCAATTGTTTATTATCATTTATATTCCTTAACACTTCTAAAGCTACCTATGATTGTGACAGAGACAGTTTAAGAAATATATCTTCATTCCACCCCTGGTTTACCTGATACAGCAAAATATTTTTCATTTTTATGGAAAACCAACCATCAGAGCTTGGGTCAAAAATGGAAGAAATTATTATGGTGTGGATAGTTGTGTCTTGATTATTCCTGATACTACCAGATAATTCTGTGAAATTAACAGCTTTTAATCACTAATGAACTTTGGGTTTTAATAAAATTAGAAAGCTAGAATTAAGACACATTCTGACATTGTTTTGTTCCCTAAGTCAGCCAGATTCCTTCAAATACTTTTGAAAATGAATGTTCAAGGCTTTGGAAATGGTGATGTTGAGATATTAAGTCTCATTTCATTCCTTAAAAACGTAAAAAGGTTTAAAGTGTCTCTTTTCTCTAAAGACAAATAATCTCAAGATAAATTTTAGCCCTTTATCTCAAAGTATTTTCAGAATGAAAATGGAGGAAGTTAAAGATAAAAGTAGGGGTTTGGGAATTGATTTATTGGCACATTTGTTTTTATTCATTAGTTAAATTACTTAAAGATCGTGAAAAAGTAAAAGCAACCTATAATTTTTTGAGCATCTACTAGCCAAAATTCGAACTCCATGTTCCACATATTACCTAATGTAATCTTAGGTATAGCTAACCTGTACTGAAAGCTTACTCTGTGTAAGGAACAAGGCTAAGCACTTTACACACCTAATGGTATGTAATCCTTACAACAACCCTGTGGAATACTCTATTTTGCTACTATTTTATATATGAGTAAAATAAGTCTTATAAATATCAAATAATTTTCTGAAGGTGTCAGATGTCTGAACTCTTGTGTATTTCACTACATTGCCTATTTGGGAAGTAGGTATTTGGTTCCTTTCTTTTAAAAGCACAGAAACTGAGTCTTTAGAAAAACAAGAACAAAAATCTAAGGTTATGTAGCCCTCTATAATGGTGCAGCCAAGGTAAAATTTATTTTCCATTTGATTCCCAAATCTCTCCATACCACCCTACTGTCAAAAAAACAATAACAATGAAATAGCCTGGGTAAGGAGATATTTTACTCACTCATTCATAGCATCTATGTTTCCAAAAGAAACAAGATGTGAGGCACATGGCATACTAAGGCACTTCGAAATTGTGTGTGATAAAAAAAATTGTCAGTTATATTCACAGACTTTACCAAGATAGAGGATAAGCACATACATTTGAAGATTTTTATTAGCAGGGTTAAAATACAACACATTTTAGGAAAAGGAAAAGTAAACTAAAAAAAAAATTTAGTAGATCTACCTTAATCAATATTCATCTATTCAGGTGATTTACATTCCTTTTCCCTGGATTTTTAAGGAAATTTTCTGTCAGATTGATAGATGAATTCCAATTAGGACCAAGATTGCAGAAAAAGTATAGAAGACAAAAGAGAAGCTGACTTGTAATTCCACCACAGTCTCTCTCTCTCTCTTTTTTTTTTTTTTTTTTTTGAGATGGAGTCTTGCTTTATCACCCAGGCTGGAGTGCAGCAGTGTAATCTTGGCTCACTGCAACTTCCACCTCCCGGGTTTAAGCCATTCTCCTGCCTCAGCCTCCCAAATAGCTGGGATTACAGGTGCCTGCCACCATACCTGGCTAATTTTTTAATTTTTAGTAGGGATGCGGTTTCACCATATTGGCCAGGCTGGTCTCAAACTCCTGACCTCAAGTGATCCACATGCCTCAGCCTCCCAAAGTGCTGGGATTACAAGCTTGGGCCACTGTGCTCGGACCATAGTCTCATTTTTATTACACTTAAGTGATGGTGCTTGACTAGATATACTTAGTATTTGTTTAGGTTTTACCATTTCAGAATTGAAGTATTTAATTTAAGCAACAGAAAAGCAGAAAGAAAAAAAACAGTGTATGTGAAATGGATTTTGGCTGTGATGTTTATTTTTGTGTGTCAACTTGACTTAGCCATTTGGTGCCCAGATACTTGGTCAAATATTATTCTGGGTCTGTCTGTGAGGGTGTTTATGAATGAGATTAACACTTGAATTTGTAAACTGAGTAAGAGGTTGCCCTCCCCAATATGGATGGGCCTCAAATAATCAAGGAAAGGCCTAAATAGAACCACAAGGCTGACCTTCCCTTTCATAAGAGGAAACTCTTCCTCCTGACTCCCTTGAGCTGGGACATTAGTTTATTTCTTTTTTTTGATTCAAACTGAAGCATCAGCTCACCAGTCCTCAGCTTGCTGTCTTTCAGACTGAAATGATACCATTGTCTTTCCTGGTTCTCAGGCTTTCAGGCTTGTTGTATCACTCCTCCTTGGTCCCCAACTTGCTGACTGCAGATCTGACCCCTCAGCCTCCATAATCACTTGAGCCAGTTCTTATAAGTGAGCCAGTCATATGTAAATATGTATCTGCAAATATGTATATCCACACACATATATCCTATCAGTTCTTTTTCTCTGGAGAGCCCTGACTAACACGTGGCTATGTAAAAATTTCCTTTGTTTTTCCAATTATGTATGATAATCTTCTATGGTGCTTTATTAAACATATTCTCTCTTTAGATATACTTTATAAAAATGTACATGTTCTCTAGATAAATTATATGCTTATGTGTACATATGAGCAGGTGTTAATATATGTATTTATAAGGGTGTAAAACAGCCTCGTATAAAGTAGATAGTCAATTTTTTTTTAGTATTCACTTATTTTTCTTTTCTAACCAACTTTAATCAGGCATAGTTTATATATAAATAAATACATTTATTTTAAGTGTACTTAATGAGCTTAAGCTATTGTATACCCTCATGCAACCACCACCACAGTCAGGTTCAAGAACATTCCCATTATTGCAGAAAGTTTCTTCCTATCCCTTTGGTCAGAATCAAACCACACAATTAAACACATTTATATTTCTACACTGATGTATATGGATATTGACATTAAATGGTATAAAAGAAAATTAATACCTATCTTAATATTGTATGCCATATTGGGCCAGATTTTTCTGCCATAAGCTTCCAGAAAACTTTTTAAAACATTTTGGATTTTGAAATTATTGATAAGAAACTGTGGACCTGTTTTAAAACGAGTTATATGATAATGAAAAGGATATAAACATGATAATTATTCTTACATATACATGTTATTTGCTTGTATTAGAGACATCCTGGACTTACGACAAATGAACTTATGAACAAAGAACTTTTTGAATAATCTTTGAAAGCTAACTTATTTTAAGAAAATTTATGAACTATTGTATACTTTGTACCTAATAGTATACTTGGCACATAATAGGTACTCAGTAATACATTTTGTTTTGCTTTCTGATAATTCTTCCCAACTTACCCCTGTATACTCCTCTTTGTTAATTTAAGCTCTAATTTTTTCTACTTGTTTAAAGTCTGGCAAATAATCTAGGACTGTGCTGTTCAATAACGTAGTCATTAGTCACATATGATTATTTAAATTTAAATTAATGGCAATTAAAATGAAAAAGCCATTTCCTTAGCCACGTTAGCCACACTGACTTGCTTGATAGCCACATGTGGCTCATGGCTACTCTATCAGATGCGAATATTCTTATGTAAATCCTACACACAAACTTTTTCCTAAAATTATCATTGCTTATATCTGTTTGTTTTTAAAAAACAAAAAGAAAGAAAAAGAAAATGAACTTATTTTGGAAGTGATCTCAGCTAGTTCCCAGAGAATAGCTGGAAGGATCTAACTTCATTTTAGAGATAAAGAAAGAGATGATAATTAAGTACCTTGCCCAAGGTCACAAACCTACAGTGGGGTGGAGTTGAGATCAGTCTCCAGATGGCCTAAGGTAACTCCATACTCCCTTGGATTACACCATGCTGTCTCTCAATTTTTACAAGTTCAGGCTCTTAGAGGGTTTCTATTTGCTTGTTTGTTTTGTTTCTTTTTTAGTCACTTTGTAAGATTTTGGGCTACAGCAACACCTGCTACAGTGATGCTCCTTGCTTGCCAGTTCTCTGGGATGGCTGGCCACGTAAATGATAGTTGATTATCCTGTTGGCACAGTTTTGTGCTTCTAGCATCTCTGCCATATGGTCGTGTTTTCCCATTGGAAAATCTGACTAGTTTGTAAACTTCTTTCCTCAAGAGCAGAGACCATGACTCCTGCTTCTCTGACATTTATTTTGGGCTGAGGAGAGTGCACCCAAGAGCAAGAGCTTGATTAACATAATGGGGATTCAGGCCCCTCCACTCATCCTTCTGTCTAGCTAGCAATAATGTTCCTGTATTAGCTTCTACTGCTACTGTACCACAAATTTAGTAGCTTGGAACAATGCAAATACAGTATCTTCCAGTTCTGGAGGTCAGGAGTCTGAAATGGCTCTTACTGAGCTAAAAGCAAGGGGTCATCAGGCCTGCATTTTTTCTAGTGGCTCTGTGGAAGAATTTGTGTTCTTGCCTTTCCCATCTTTTGGGGGCACACCACAGTCCTTGCGTTTCCATCTTCCAAGCCATAAATGGAAAAGTAAGTCTTTCTCACATCACATCACTCTGACACTCCGCTTCCTTCTGTCACCTTCTCTGACTCTGACTCATCCTCCTCTCTCAAAGTACACAGTGATTACATTGAATTTACCAGATAACCCAGGACAATCTTATAATAAGATCTACTAATTAGAAACCTTAATTCCATCTATAGCCTTAATTCGCCCTTGCTATATAACATATTCACAGATCTGAGGATATGGGTGTGAACATGTTGGGGATCTATTCTGCTTACCACAGTTCCTTTTATCATTTTGTAGTTTTTTCCCTTATGTATATGTCTCCACCATCCAAGTGTGACCTTTTTGAGCATAATGTTCTATTCTATCTGTTTTATACACATCCATCCTCACATGGTTCCCACAACATAGAATATATAAAATAAATGTTTGATGTAAAAGTGGAAGCATAGGCCAGGCGCAGAGGCTCATGCCTATAATCCTAGCACTCTGGGAGGCTGAGATGGCAGATCACCTGAAGTCGAGTTTGAGACCAGCCTGACCAACAGGGAGAAACTCTTTCTCTACTAAAAATACAAAATTAGCTGGGTGTGGTGGTGCATGTCCGTAATCCCAGCCACTTGGGCGGTTGAGGCAGGAGAATCACTTAAACCCAGGAGGCAAAGGTTACAGTGAGCCAAGATTGCGTCACTGCACTCCAGCCTGGCCAACAAGAGCAAAACTCTGTCTCAAAAAGAAAAAGAAAAAAAAAGTGAAAGCATAAAGAAATATGCTGCTTAAAATACATCTTATCTGGAAACAGAAATATACTTTAAATGTAAACATCATTTTATTTATTCAACAAATGTCTTGAGTTCTTACCATATACCAAGATCTGTTCTAGGCTTTTGGAGAAAACAACAGAAATCCTTGAATTTAGGTTCCAGTGGTTGGTGTCAGAAGTAAAGTTCAGAGTCACAAAGAAAAAGAGCACTTAAACAAAGAACTTCTCAGCAAGGAAAATTTACTTCTGCAGAAGGGTGCTTCTCACAGGTCTGGTTTCCCCAAGAGCACACCAAACATAAGAGAGAAGGGGTTTTTATTTCTAATGCAGCTTGTCCCTGCTACTGTGTCCTGCCTCCATTGGCTGGAGTTGGACCACACAAGTTAAGCTGAATCCAGTTGGCTAACTTGAAAAGTGCAGGAATGAGGTAACACTGGCGGGAAGGACAGTTTTGGCAGGAAGGGCCGTTGTGACAGGAGGGGTAATTTACAGAGTGAGTAACAGATTTGGGCTCTGTAGATAAGGACCAGTGGGAGAGTTGTTTACTGAAAGCAAGACAAGGGGGCACAGAGAGCAAGGAAGTTTGGCCTTGAAAGTAGAGAGCAAAGAACAAGGAAACTAAACAACTTAAACCTTTGAAGAGGTACTTTTTCTTGTATCTAACAATTCCCCCCTTTTTAATTTTTATAAGTATTCCTCTTCAAACCTTTTTAACATATCTTGACTTTGTTGTTTTGCTTGGCCTTTTAAAAGAAAAAGTCCATTTGAATAGGGAGGGGGGAATTGAGGGAGTTTTTGGTGAGAGCTGTTTCAATAAGCTTTTGTATTAATCCCCAGGCGCAGGGTATGATACAGCATCCTATGAGAATAAGTACAACTATGACAATTGCAAAAGAGGTTAGTGTTGAAGACATGAGCCCTTTTCCATTTACTGAACCACCTTTTCATAAAACTTGTGAAGGGGTCATTTTTCCCAGAATTTTTGGCCAGTTTATTTGATAGTGAGCTGAGATTTTGTTAAGTTTTGGTAATTGTTCCATCAGGGGCTGTGTTCTTGGGGATAAATGTACAACATTGGATTTTGGTCATAACACAGACTCCACCTTTTTTTTTGCTAGTATCATGTTTAACGCTATTTTATTTCCCCAAGCCATTTGACTGTTGGATTTTAATGTTTCAGCTATTCCTTTAATGGCATCCCTGGCATAATTAACAAATCATTGTTGATTATAACATATGTAATTTATCCAATCTACATTTTTATTTATTGTTGACCACCAGAACAACATGGACTTAAACCCTGTAGCTATTTGATTTTGAACTTTAAATTCATTTGGTACCTCTCGTGGGACTCCAATAGCATTTGTGTAAACGTGAGGGTTAAAATATCTGGGTGGAGTGCTTCTTCTAACTCAGTCTTGATTTTTTTGCTTACTGTGTTGGAGGAATTCCAGGGTGAAAGGGATGGCCAATTGGACTACAGCGTAAGTGCTGCTCCAGTTATTTGACAGAGAACTCAATAGTAATTTCCCGTAATACCACCATACGTCTGTTTGGGAGTGAACAAGGACAGATTGACTGGTAAGCTCTCGGAAAGGCTTAGTTTCATTGAACCCTTTTAGGTCTCCAAGAGACGTCAATTTCTGCCCCTACCGTGAGAGACAAGAGGTAAAATTAACATCTGAGGCCGGAGGCTGGATGGCTCTTGGGGGCTGACCCACAGAGCCTTTGACTTCAGGGAATAGTAGTGAGAGAGTCTTGCTCACCTTACTGCCCCAGGCTGTGGGGTTTTGAAAGAGACTTACCATGCAGCTGATGCCCAATCGGTCAGAGGACCATCCAAGTGGGAAAGGGGCTATTTGAGCTTCTGGCCTGCCTGCTGCACAAGTGTAACAGTAACTTTTATTTATATGTGCAAATAGAATATTTAATCCATTTCAACCAGGCATTTGTACCTTGGTATCCTGTTATCACTGTCAAAGTTTGTTCTAAATTTGTAATTTCTACAATGTCGACTATGGCTTTGTTATTGGAAAGAATACCAGTTTGATTGAGAGAAAGTTTTGGGGAAGAAGAAAGAGAAAGGGGTGGAGGATCAATGAAGCACACTTCAAAAGATCCTATTGGGTCTGTCGCTGAATGAAAATTAGCTGTTAGGCCATAGAAGCAACTTAGAGTGGGGTTAGTTTCGGTGGAGGTGGGGACAGAGATGGAGACTTGCAGAGGGTTACACCGCTGAAACTGACAACTAGAGGGAGTTACTCTTGGTAAACTGGATTTAGGGTTTTAGATCAATGCAGCCTCCTCTTGCAGAGGTCCAGCCCTGATATTTGGTGGTCCAGATTACGTCTCCCCAGTCATAACAGAACCTCCACCCAGTGCTTCATGTACTTCTGATACAAGCGTCACTATTAAGGCAGTCCTATTTATTCTAGAGGGGCAGACATACTTGTCAACAGAGGCTAGCTTTCTTTGGTTTTGGATATCCCCATAGGGTAGAACGAGACAAGCATCAAAAGTGATAACTTGAGATAGGCTTGATCTAGTTACATTAATAATAAAGTGACTAGCTGTAAAGTGAGGAAAGGTGACAGAATAATATACTAGATATAGGAAGGTTAGGTTTTGCTTAGCTTTAGTTTGGTAGGGCTTTCTCCTGGAAGGATGGCCCATGATCCTGGAGGGGGTGATGTTTTCTTGACTCAGGTATGATGAGTCCATCCTTTTTCTGCTGTTCGGACTGCGGTTTCAGTGGTCAGGAGCACTAGGCAAGGTCCTTCCCAATCCGGTTTGAGTTCTTCTTTTTTCTACCCTTTAATGAGGACATGATCTCCAGGGGTGGCGCCTATGCTAGGAGACCTTTGGTCTTGAGGGAAGAGAAAGTGGAAGATAATAGACCAAGTATATAGTTTTTTAGAAACTGATCTTTTGTTTCAAATGTAGAAATGTCAGTGGTGGAATGTAAATAAGGCAGCCCATATAGCATTTCATAAGGAGACAAGCCGACATCTTTCTGAGGGGTGGTTTTGATTCTTAACAAGGCAATGTGGAGACATTTAGTCCAGGGTAACTGGGTCTCTAGGACTAATTTGGTTAGGTGGCTTTTTAGAGTCTGTTTATTTTTTCTACTTTTCCTGAGGAAGATGGATGTCAAGGGATATGCTATTCCCATTTTATGTCTAGCACCTGGACTAAGTTTTTAATGACATGAGCCATGAAGTGGGTTCCATTTTCTGAATCAATGTTTTCTATTAGTCCAAACCTGGGTACGATGCTTTTAATTAATGCCTTAATTACATTACTGGTGGTTGTGTTTGAGAAGGGGATAGCTTTTACCTAGTGAGTAAAGTGGTCTACTATTACCAATAAGTACTTCAGGCGACAGATTGGAGGCACTTTAGTGTAGTCAATTTGAACACTTTGGAATTGCCTTAGGCCTGTATCCCTTTCCCCAAGGGGTGACATTTTTTTAATTTGCTTACTAGTTTTCTTACATATCAATCAACTCTCTGTAACCTGTTTGGCTAGGGTATAAATTCCTATACACCTACAAACTCTGAGAACTGCATCACACATAGCTGGGGTCCCCAGTGGGCTTTTGATGTAGTTGAGACAAGACCTCCCTATTCTTCTTCAAAGGCCATAAGTGGAATGATTTCCTTCTTTTTCTCCCATTCAGGATATTCTCTCTTAAAATGACGTACTCATCCACTTGTGAAACATTTATTTTGTCCTTCCACCCTTCCTATGTTCAGGTTCCCTGGCCCCACCTCCTTATGCTCTTTGTATGCCCTGGCAAGTGGGGGCTTAAATTTCTTATGAGTCCTGGGTCCTTGGATACTTTGTTTAGATGTGCATGGGCCTCTGGGTGACAGAGAGTGGTATCGGTGGACCCTATTTTCTGGGACCCCCTGTTGGAAAGTAGAGAGCATAATTTTTGCCTTTTTTTTTTTTTTTTTTGCTTTTTCTCATCTCTTCTTATATATACTTTTTGGGCTTCCCTTAGAAGTTCTCCTATGGGTTTATTTTTTTTAATTTTCTATCTTTGGCAATTTTTTTAGAGATGTCTGGCCAACTATTAGTAGTAAAATAAAGCTTTAACATTCTTTGCCCTAGGGGATCTTCTAAATCTAGACCCGCATATTTTCTCTTTTTTTTTCAGTCTATCTAAGAATTGTATAGGTCCTTCATCTTTCCCTTTTTGTATATCCAATACTCGGGAAAGATTTTGGGTCTGAATCCCTTTAATTATCATTTCCCCAAGGTCTTTCATGTTTTTCTGGTGAGCTGCATTGTTATTGTCCCACTGGGGGTCTTGGGCTGGGAATTTTCAATCTATTGCAGGAATGTTTTGACCAGGAGGATGTTCACATTTCCAGACTACCATAGTGGCCCTGCAGATCATGCTTCTTCCTTTCCCTGAAAAGAGGATGCCCAGGATGGACATCAACTCAGCCTAAGTATAGAGTTGTGGCACCAAAAATTGATTAATTTGATCTGCTACCCTATAAGTGTTATCTAATAATGGCTTGAGTTGCTTTTTTAAATTTTGGACCTCTGAGCTGGTTAAAGGGGTATTTACAAAGCCAATGCCTCCTCCACTAAGGGGTACTTCCCTTAAGGGTAAGAGAGTTGGGGTTGATTCCTTAGAGGTGGAGGGGAAAGGGAAGTTTTGGATATCTTTTTTACATTGTTCTATCTCACGCTGGAGCTTTTGTAGGGGAGGCACATGCTCAAGCGTGTGGCTAGGGAGAGCATGGGGCATTGATTCAGGATTATATGAGGAAGGAACTGAGTGAGGGAATTCCTGTGTGCCCACTTGGGCTGGGGGATTTGGAGGAGGCAGGTGGTCTAGTGGGTTCTAGATGTTAGTGGGATGTTTGGGGGTAGAGACCTCACTCCTTTCAGAGGAGTTGGTTTCTGGCTTGCCCCCTATAGCCTTTAGGGGGTAAAGGAGGACAAGTCCCTGCCACCAACACAGGGCATAATCTATTTCCTGCTGGGAGATGGGACTCTTGTCATTAACATATTCTATTAGAAGTTAACAAATTCAATTTTCATTTGACCCAAACTTTGGCCAGAAAACTGAGGGTGTGAGAATGGGTTCTTTGGTCCAAATGAAACAATATTTTATCATTTGCTGTTTTTTTTTTTCTTGTGTTTAGGCCTTTCATTATCCCTCCAATATTTTAGCATGAGGCCTAGGGGACTGTCAGGGGGAATTTTACTACCCCTTTGGCCCTTTTTGTTTCCTACTTTACCTGGGGTATTTCCTATTTTGAAGGCTGCTGAGGCTCAATCCCTCATATTAGGGATTTCTTGCCCTCTCCTCTCTAGAGACTGGCTGAGGGTCAATCCCTTGTATTAGGGATTTTTTGTTTTCCCTTCTCTTAAAGGGTTAACCCCCTCTACCAGAGGTCTCTTGATGTCACACCCAAGGAATACTTTAACACCCCTGTGGCTTTTCTTGCCTTGGTATGTCCTACGGAATACTTCACCAACCCTGCAGCTTTTCTTACCTCAGTCCCAACCAAGAAATACTTCACTGCCCCCGTGCTTTTCTTACCTTGGTCTGTGCCCAGAGTTACCTGGTCTCCGAAGTATCTACTTGTAGGCCTTTTATTCCGACATTGCTGAGAGTCCGGGTTTATTCATCATGCCGGATGGGTCTCAATCTCTTACCCCTGAGGCCAGTGCAACAAGGCAGCAGGACACATCTCCTCACAAGAGATGATCAGAGACCCATCCCCAGAGGAGAATGAGATCCTGGGTGGGCCCCCAAAATTGTTGAAAGTAAAGCTCAGAGTGGCAAAGAAAATGAGCATTTAAACAAAGAACTTCTCAGCAAGGCAAATTTACTTCTGCAGAAGGGTGCTTCTCACAGGTCTGGTCATCCCAAGAGCACACCAAACAAAAGAGGGAAGGGGTTTTTAATTTCTAACACAGCTTGTCCCTGCTACTGTGTACTGCCTACATTGGCTGGAGTTGGACCACACAATTTAAGCTGAACCCGAACCCAGTTGGCTAACTTGAAAAGTGCAGGAATGCGGTTACACTGGTGGGAAGGAAAGTTTCAGCAGGAAGGGTCATTGCACCAGGAGGGTAATTTACAGAGTGAGTAACAGATTTGGGTTCTGTAGATAAGGACAGGCAGGAGAGTTGTTTACTGAAACCAAGACAGGGAGGCACAGGGAGAAAGAAAGTTTGGCCTTGAAAGTAGAGAACAAAGAACAAGGAAACTAAACAAGCTAAACTTTTGAAGAGAAACTTTTTCTTGTATCTGACAGTTGGTGAAAGGCAACAAGTAATTAGCAGAATAAATAGCATATTTATGGTTATGTAAGAAGGTGATATATGCTGTAAAAATGGGGTATAGAAAAAATGAGCACATGTCCACACAAAAACTTGCAAATGAAAGGTCATAGCTTTATTGTTCATAATGTCCAGAAAGTGGAAACAACCCAAATGTCCATCAACTAGTGAATGAGTAAACCAAATTGAGGTATATCCATCTAATGCAATACTCTTCAGCAATAAAAGGAAAATAATACTGATACATTCTATAATGTGAATGAAACACAAAAACATCATGCTGAGGAAAAGAAACCATACAAAATAATTGGCATTTTAACACTGGATTTATATTAAATGTCCCAAAAAGCAAATCTATACAGATGGAAAATAAATTAGTAATTGCCTAGAGATGGATTTCGGACAGGAAAATAACTGTAAAGGGGCATAAGATTTCTTTGTAATGTTATTAAAATGTTTTAAAATTAGATAGTGTTCATGTTGTACAACTCTGTAAATATACTAAAAATCATTGAATTGGGCACTTAGATAAATTTTTGCCATTTAATTATACTGCAAACACCTTGTTAACTAAAAAAAGTTCGAGGAAAGAAAATGTGGTAAGGGAAGGGTGATCGGGAGCGTTGCCTGGGTGCAGGTGTAACTTCATTAAGGTAGTCAGATTTAACCTCACTAAGAAGGAGATAGTGATCCAAGTGTTGCTATCTGAGGAGTATGGATTCCAGCTTGAAAAAAAAAAAAAAAAAAAAAAACCCCATGAAATGTTTCTGAGGCTGGAGGGTATGTGGGGAGTTGCAAGAATACCGAGAAAGCAAATGTGACCTAAGCAGATAAGTTGAGTAGATGAAGATGTGTTAGAGAGAAAGGATGGGGCACAGAGTGGGCAGGGCCTTGTAAGTCACTGTAAGGGATTTGACATCAATTTGAATGAAATGAGAAAATGCGAGATTTTGAGATTAGGAGTGATCTGGATTCACTTACACTTTTATGGCATCTTCGTGACTTCTCTGTTAATTAATCATTGGAGGAAGATAAGGGTGAACATAGGAGAAGCAAAGAGATAAGATATGACTAATTCAGTAATCCTATAAGAGAATTTGGGGTTTGGAACCAGGGAAGTAGCAGTGCATATAGTTAGAGGTCATCTGAATTTCTGTTTGTGAGCATGTGCATTTTATTGCTAAGGAAGAATATTTTTAGCTTTACAGAAAGAACATGATGACATCAATATCTTTTCACCTAAGAAGTTGGAATTGATTTTGCCATCCTACTCTAGACCTTCAGACCATGAGTTGTCTGGCGCTGGGTGATTTCCTTACCTTGGAAATCACTTGGTTCTATAAAACAGCAATGATGCATACTTAGAAGCCATTGTAGTGATGAAAAATGAAATAGGTATAAAAACATGAAATACTTTCAACTTTGATCAAATGTAACATATTTTAGATAGTTGATTAATCTGTTAGGTTCATGGGACAATCTGAAGAAAAAGAAAACAAGGCAAAACTTTCAGATTTTAAATAGTAATTACCTGAATTCTTATATAAGCATATATATTATAATTTAGTTTTCACTTAAAATAGCTGTACATATTTATATTCTAAAATTTTTGTAAATTTTAGGAAATGACATCTACTGCATAATTTCCTATCAAGAAAACCTTTAGAAAGGTTAATGAATGGTTTCATATTTAGGCAAAATTCAAATTGTTTTAGAATTATTTGAAAAATAAAATTGGTCCTGCTGAAATTTTTCAAACTTTAAATACCAATATTATGTTTAATTAAAAAATGCATTCTGGAAAGTGTGTAAAAATTTCCCATTTGAGACACCCTGCTGGTAATATCCTGATGCTATAATGTGAATGTTTGTGTCTTCACAAAATTCATATATTGAAATCTCAACTGTTAAAATTGTGACATTAGGAAGTGGGACCTTTTAGGAGGAGAGTAGGTAATGAGTTGTAAGACCTCATGAACAGAACTAGTGCCCTTCTAAAATAGGCCCAAGGGAGTTTATCCATTCATTCTACCCTTTGAGGAAACTGCAAGAAGGTGCTGTTTTATGAGCCAGAAAAGAGGCTCTTCCCAGAGACCAAATCTGCTACTGTCTCGGTCTTAACTTCTCAGCCTCTAAAACTATGAGAAATACATTTTGTTTTTTATAAACTACTCAGTCTATGGTATTTTGTTATAGCAGCCTGAACAAACTAAGATGACTGAAAAAACATGAGGACTTTTTTCTTCCTTACATGAGAGATTTGCATGAGGATATGTATGTATACATGTACCTCCAAATGGAACTATTCAAGCTTTATTATTTTGAACTAAATTCTGACACACACACACTACATTTGATATTTAACAATAGAAAATTATTGTTAAATAAAGAGAACCAGGGTATATCAATTATTAATAATCTATATATTAATATTATCTTTGATCTCTTTACCATAGCCATTTGTTTGCTATGATTTATAGGTAATAAATACTCAATATTAAAGAGAATTAAAATTATATATATAATTAAAGCTGTAATCATGTATTTAAAGTTTGTTTTTTTGTATAAGAAATAAATCATGGTTGATAAAAGTACATTATAATAAAATATAATTTAATTTTTCTTTTAAAGTAAATTATATTTTAATTTAACTATTTAAAATTAATTATAAATAGTTAAATTTATTTTGAACATTTTTCATAAACCCTCTTGGCCAGGCATGGTGGCTGACACCTGTAATCTTAGGAGGCCACGGCAGGCAGATTGCTTGAGTCCAGAAGTTTGAGGCCAGTCTGGGTGACATGGCAAAACTCTGACTCTACAAATAATACAAAAATTAGCTGGGCATGGTGGTGCATGCCTGTAGTCCCAGCTACTCAGTAGGCTGAAGCGGGAGAATCACTTGAGCCCAGGAAGCAGAGGTGGCAGTGAGCTGAAATCTTGCCACTGCACTCCAGCCTGGGCAACAGAGTGAGACCTTGTTTAAAAAAAAAAAAAAAAAGACAAAACAAACAAAAAACACTTCATGATCAAAAAAAAAAAATTTTTTGTCAGAGCTTATTTGATTAACACTTTTATTTTCAAATCTTACAGTACTATTTTAATGTAAGCATAATTATTTTGTGATGCCATTTTAAAATTTAGAGTTAAAATTAATCCAGTAGGTCTGTATGATACTTTCCAGTTTACATTGAGGATTTAAATCTGAAAAATATTTCAAATAAAATTTCTAATTACACTGGAGCTTTTTAACATTGTATGTTACTAATATTACCTTTCATGGAAGTGACAGCTTTTGAGATGAATGTATTATAATGAATCTAGCCCATGTTAAAGAACATCATAAAAGAGTTTTAGTGGGTGAGTTAATAAAAAATATATATATTTTATCTTTCCTTTTATGACTGAATACACAGTATTAATTGTATAACCAGCTAAACTAGTAATATATTCAAAAATGAGTTAATATAAAATTATAAAATGATTCATAAGTCCACTGCTCTTTCCCAATTAGTAGAGGATTCTTGGTTATGGTAGCAGGTGGTTTCAGTTGTCTGATTTTTCATTTCTAGCTTACTGTTAAGCAAAGTTATGAAAAACTCTGCAATGTTTTCCCCAATACATCATAAAACCAATGTACTCAGGAGTAGAAACAAGTTTAACAATCTGGTGTTAGAAAAACAATACAGGGATCTGAATTACTATCATAGAAAGCCAATTTATTTGGACGTGTTCCACATAAGACAGTAAGGCACTGTGCACTCAGAATAGAGTGAAATATGTCACTTAACTTTAGGTTCTTTTATTGAGCAGCTAGGTGGAAAAGTGCAACAAATGTGCCAAAATTTCAATGTTATAACCCAATAGAAAGTGCTTCTCACTTGCAGGACCAAACAATACGGTGTGCCTGTTCAGTTGGATCTCCTTGGAATTCCCACTTAAGTGGTGACTCAGGAAGCCTAAATCTTCCTGTACCTTGGTTTTATTATTTCCTTAAATATTGGAGTCCTCTGCTAGATTATATGCATTTAGGCAGTTCATGAGAAGGAGAGAAAGTATGAAGCATTTCAGGAAAATTTTAATTGCCAAGTCTGAAAATAAAATACATCACTCTGCTCACAATTAATTTATGAGAACTCAGTTCACCAGAATTTTCTAATTGCAAGGAAGGCTAGGAAATTTGTTCTAACTCTGTGTCCAGTGTCAAAAACTGAGGAGCTTCTGGATGTCTCTGCTACAGGGTCTATGGTGTCTCTAGGATCATAATAATAATTTTAAAAAGAGGCTGCATACAAGATGTGAATACAGGAAAAAAGAGGAAAATAATGTTTGGGAATACTGTCATCTCAATAAATGACTCCCAAGTTCACTATGCTTACAATAGGGTTTAGTTTTTGTGTGCTGTTACTAGTTTTGCCTAACACAAGGTCACTAAATTTTCCTAGAAGGTTTTCTCCTACTCATTTTTATTTTAACTTTTACATTTAGATTGATAATTCATTTCAAACAATTAAAATATACCATTCATGACATAGACATGAACAAAGAGTTCATGACTAAAACACCAACAGCAATGGCAACAAAAGCCAAAACTGACAAATGGGAAGAGGTTCTGCACAGCAAAAGACACTACCATCAGAGTGAAAAGGCAACCTACACAATGGGAGAAAATGTTTGCAATCTAGCCATCTGACAAAGGGCTAATATCCAGAAACTACAAAGAACATAAAAAATTTACAAGAAAATGCATGGCTGGTTCAATATACGCAAATCAATAAATGTAATCCAGCATATAAACAGAACCAAAGACAAAAACCACATGATTATCTCAATAGATGCAGAAAAGGCCTTTGAGAAAATTCAACAACTCTTCATGCTAAAAACTCTCAATAAATTAGGTATTGATGGGACGTATTTGAAAATAATAAGAGCTATCTATGACAAACCTCAGTCAATATCATACTGAATGGGCAAAAACTGGAAGCATTCCCTTTGAAAACTGGCACAAGACAGAGATGCCCTCTCTCACCACTCCTATTCAACATAGTGTTGGAAGTTCTGGCCAGGGCAATTAGGCAGGAGAAGGAAATAAAGGGTATTCAATTAGGAAAAGAGGAAGTCAATTTGTCCCTGTTTGCAGACCACATGATTGTATATCTAGAAAACCCCAACGTCTCAGCCCAAAATCTCCTTAAGCTGATAAGCAACTTCAGCAAAGTCTCAGGATACAAAATCAATGTACAAAAATCACAAGCATTCTTATACACCAACAACAGAGAACAGAGAGCCAAATCATGAGTGAACGCCCATTCACAATTGCTTCAAAGAGAATAAAATACCTAGGAATCCAACTTACAAGGGATGTGAAGGACCTCTTCAAGGAGAACTACAAACCACTGCTCAACGAAATAAAAGAGGATACAAACAAATGGAAGAACATTCCATGCTCATGGGTAGGAAGAATCAATGTCATGAAAATGGCCATACTGCCCAAGGTAATTTACAGATTCAATGCCATCCCCATCAAGCTACCAATGACTTTCTTCACAGAATTGGAAAAAACTACTTTAAAGTTCATATGGAACCAAAAAAGAGCCCGCATCGCCAAGGCAATCCTAAGCCAAAAGAACAAAGCTGGAGGCATCACGCTACCTGACTTCAAACTATACTACAAGTCTACAGTAACCAAAACAGCATGGTACTGGTACCAAAACAGAGATATAGATCAATGGAACAGAACAGAGCCCTCAGAAATAACGCCGCATATCTACAACTATCTGATCTTTGACAAACCTGAGAAAAACAAGCAATGGGGAAAGGATTCCCTATTTAATAAATGGTGCTGGGAAAACTGGCTAGCCATATGTAGAAAGCTGAAACTGGATCCCTTCCTTACACCTTATACAAAAATTAATTCAAGATGGATTAAAGACTTCAATGTTAGACCTAAAACCATAAAAACCCTAGAAGAAAACCTAGGCTTTACCATTCAGGACATAGGCATGGGCAAGGACTTCCTGTCTAAAACACCAAAAGCAATGGCAACAAAAGCCAAAATTGACAAATGGGATCTAATTAAACTAAAGAGCTTCTGCACAGCAAAAGAAACTACCCTCAGAGTGAACAGGCAACCTACAAAATGGGAGAACATTTTTGCAACCTACTCATCTGACAAAGGGCTAATATCCAGAATCTACAATAAACTCCAACAAATTTACAAGAAAAAAACAAACAACCCCATCCAAAAGTGGGCGAAGGACATGAACAGACACTTCTCAAAAGAAGACATTTATGCAGCCAAAAAACACATGAGAAAATGCTCACCATCACTGGCCGTCAGAGAAATGCAAATCAAAACCACAATGAGATACCATCTCACACCAGTTAGAATGGCAATCATTAAAAAGACAGGAAACAACTGGAGAGGATGTGGAGAAATAGGAACACTTTTACACTGTTGGTGGGACTATAAACTAGTTCAACCATTGTGGAAGTCAGTGTGGCAATTCCTCAGGGATCTAGAACTAGAAATACCATTTGACCCAGCCATCCCATTACTGGGTATATACCCAAAGGACTATAAATCATGCTTCTATAAAGACACAGGCACACGTATGTTTATTGCAGCATTATTCACAACAGCAAAGACTTGGAACCAACCCAAATGTCCAACAATGACAGACTGGATTAAGAAAATGTGGCACATATACACCATGGAATACTATGCAGCCATAAAAAATGATGAGTTCATGTCCTTTGTAGGGACATGGATGAAATTGGAAATCATCATTCTCAGTAAACTATCACAAGAACAAAAAACCAAACACTGCATATTCTCACTCATAGGTGGGAATTGAACAATGAGAACACATGGACACAGGAAGGGGAACATCACACTCTGGGGCCTGTTGTGGGGTGGGGGAAGGGGGGAGGGATAGCATTGGGAGATATACCTAATGTTAGATGAAGAGTTAGTGGGTGCAGCGCACCAGCATGGCACAGGTATACATATGTAACTAACCTGCACATTGTGCACATGTACCCTAAAACTTAAAGTATAATAATAAAAAAAAATAAAAAATAAATGTCAGAGCCAAAAAAAAAGAAAGAAAAAAAAACTTTACAAGGAAAAATCAAACAACCCCATCAAAAAGTGGGCAAAGAATATGAACAGACACTTCTCAAAAGAAGACATTTATGCAGCCAAGAAACATATGAAAAAAAGCTCATCATCACTGGTCATTAGAGAAATGCAAATCAAAACCACAATGAGATACTATCTCATGCCAGTTAGAATGATGATCATTAAAAAGTCAGGAAGCAGATGCTGGAGAGAATGTGGAGAAATAGGAACACTTTACACTGTTGGTGGGAGTGTAAATTAGTTCAACCATTGTGGAAGACAGCGTGGCGATTCCTCAAGGATCT
Organism: Homo sapiens; assembly: GCF_000001405.40. Classification (NCBI taxonomy): domain Eukaryota; kingdom Metazoa; phylum Chordata; class Mammalia; order Primates; family Hominidae; genus Homo; species Homo sapiens. The sequence goes on from NC_000011.10 coordinate 38,234,764, forward strand.
AGAACCAGAAATACCATTTGACCCAGCAATCCCATTACTAGGTATATACCCAAAGGATTATAAATCATTCTACTATAAAGACACATGCACATGTATATTTATTGCAGCACTGTTCACAATAGCAAAGACGTGGAACCAACTCAAATGCCCATCAGTGATAGACTGGATAAAGAAAATGTGGCACATATACACTATGGAATACTATGCAGCCTTAATAAGTGACCAGTTCAGCCAGGTGCGGTGGCTCACACCTGTAATCCCAGCACTTTGGGAGGCTGAGGCAGGTGGATCACCTGAGGACAGGAGTTTGAGACCAGCCTGGCCAACACGGTGAAACCTCGCCTCTACTAAAAATACAAAAATTAGCTGTGCGTGGTGGCACACACCTGTAATTCCAGCTACTCCAGAGCCTGAGGCAGGAGAATCACTTGAACTTGGGAGGTGGAGGTTGCAGTGAGCTGAGATGGCACTATTGCACTCCAGCCTGGGCGACAGAGCAAGACTCCATCTCAAAAAAAAAAAAAAAAAAAAAAAGGATGATTTCATGTCTTTTGCAGGGACATGGATGAAGCTGGAAACCATCATTCTCAGCAAAACTAACACAAGAACAGAAAACCAAACACCGCATATTCTCATCCATAAGTGGGAGTTGAACAATAAGAACACATGGACACAGGGAGGGGAATATCACACACTGGGGCCTGTCGGGGAGTGGGAGGATAGGGGAAGGATAGCATTAGGAGAAATACCTAATATTGATGACAGGTTGATGAGTGCAGCAAACCAGCAAGGCATGTGTATACCTATGTAACAAACCTGCATGCTCTGCACATGTATCCCAGAACTTAAAGTATAATAATTTAAAAAAAATTATTAAAACAATTTTTTCTTTTTTTTTCTGTGAGGTTGATATGGCTTGGCTGTGTGTCTCCACCCAAATCTCATGTTGAATTGTAACTCCCAATGTTGGTGGAAGGACCTGGTTGGGGGAGATAGGATCATGGGCACAGATTTTCCCCTGCCTGTTCTTGTGATAGTGAGTGAGTTCTCATGAGTTCTAATAGTTTAAAAGTGTATGGCACTTCCCCCTTCACTCTCTCTCTCTCCTGTCACCATGTGGAGATGTGCTTGCTTCCCCTTCACCTTCTGCCATAATTGTAAGTTTCCTCCTGAGGCCTCCCCAGCTATGCTTCCTGTGAGTAAATTAAACTTCTTTGAACAATGAGAATACTTGGACACAGGGTGGAGAACATCACACACCGCGGACTGTTGTGGGCTGGGGGGAGTGGGGAGCCATAGCATTAGGAGATAAACCTAATGTAAATGACGAGTTAATGGGTGCAGCACACCAACGTGGCACATGTATACATATGTAACAAACCTGCACGTTGTGCACATGTACCCTAGAACTTAAAGTATAATAAAAAAAATAAATAAACTTCTTTTGTGTATAAACTACCCAGTCTCAAGCAGTTCTTTATAGCAATGTGAGAATGGACTAACACAGAGATAGGTAGACCATTGCCCATGCAACATTATTTGAAAAGACTATTTGCACTTGCTAAGTAAGTTATCTTAAAGATGTGTGTATATAATCATGTGTACCTTTTTACGGACTCCCTTGTCTTCCATTAATGTGCTTGTCTATCTTCACATCAATACCATAAGTATTTTATGATTTTAATGTCATTGAAGATGGTGTTTGATGCTACTGTAAATAGCATCATCTCTTTTTTTCTCTATTTCTGCTTCTTCATGATACTTCTTACCATCTAGAAAAAACTGTTTTTTAAAGAAGTATGGGACTTATATTTTCAAGCCTTGTTAAGTACATATTTTAGTTCTGATAGGAGTTTTATAGTTACCTTAATATTTTCTGCATAAACAATTCTGTCATCTACAAACTTTCGGAAAATGTTTACTTTTTCTCCAATCTCTGTATGCATTTTACTTATTTTTGCAATGGCTGGAACATCTAGTAAAATTTTGAAGAGATGTGGTTGATAGTGGTGTACAAGTACTCTATATTCTTCATCTATTTGTCATAGCAATTAATAAAAACAGTTATTAAATTTAAAATTATTTTGTCAAATTTTTATTTTAAGTTCAAGGGTACATGTGCAGGTTTGATACATAGGTAAACTTGTGTCATGGGGGTTTGTTGTACAGATTATTTCATCACTCAGTTATTAAGCTTAGTACTCATTAGTTAGTTTTCCTGATCTTCTCCTTCCTCCCCCCTCCACTTTCTGATAGGCCCCAGTGTCTGTTGTTTCCCTCTATGTGTCCATGTGTTCTCACAATTTAACGCCCACTTATAAGTGAGAATATATGTGGTATTTGGTTTTCTGTTCCTGTGTTAGTTTGCAAAGGACAATGGCATTCATTTCCCTCCATGTTCCATTCCATGTTCCTGCAAAGAACATGACTTTGTTCTTTTTTTTTTTTTTTTGAGACGGAGTCTCGCTCTGTCACCCAGGCTGGAGTGCAATGGCGGGATCTCGGCTCACTGCAAGCTCCGCCTCCCGGGTTCATGCCATTCTCCTGCCTCAGCCTCCCAAGTAGACTTTGTTCTTTTTATGGCTGTATAGTATTCTGTGGTGTATATGTACTACATTTTCTTTACTGAGTCTGCAATTGATGATCATTTAGGTTGATTACATGTCTTTGCTATTTTGAGTAGTGCTGCAATGAACATATGTGTATATGTGTCTTTATGATACAATTATCTATATTTTGGGGGTATATATCCAGTAATGAGATTGCTGGGTTGAATGGTAGTTTTTTTTCTAGTTCTTTGAAAAATCACCACACTATCTTCCAAACTGGCTGAACTAATTTACCCTCCACAAACAGCGTATAAGCATTCCTTTTCTTCTGCAACCTCCCCAGTAACTGTTATTTTCTGATTTTTAATAATAGCTATTCTGATTGATGTGAGATGGTATCTTACTGTGGTTTTTAATTGCATTTCTCGAATAATCAGTGACACTGAGCTTTTTAAAAAAATACGTTTGTTGGCTGCATGTATGTTTTCTTTTAAAAAGTTTCTGTTCATGTTCTTTGCTCACTTTTTAATGGGATTTTTTAAATCGTAAATTTGTTTAAGTCCTCTATAGATGCTGGATATTAGACCTTTGTCAGATGCATGGTTTGCAAAAAATTTCCTCCCATTCTGTAGGTTATCTGTTAGTCTGTACATAGTTTCTTTTGCTGTGCAGAAGCTCTTTCATTTAATTAAGTCCCATTGGTCAATTTTTGTTTTTGTTGCAATTGCTTTTGATGGTTTCATCATAAAATCTTTGCCTTTTCCTCTTTCCAGAATGGTATTGCCTAGGTGGTCTTCCAGAGTTGTTATAGTTTTGGGTTTAACATTTAAGTCTTTAATGCATTTTGAGTTGATTTTTGTATATGGTGTAAGGAAGGGGTCCTGTGTTATCTTCTGCATATGGTTAGCCAGCACCATTTATTGAACATGGAGTTCTTTCTCCGTTGCTGGTTTTTGTCGGCTTCATTGAAGATTATATAGTTATAGTTGTGAAGCCTTATTTCTGGGCTTTCTATTCTGTTCCATTGGTCTATGTGTCTGTTTTTGTATAGTATCATGCTGTTTTGCTTACTGTCGCCCTGTAGTATAGTTTGAAGCTTAGTAAGGTGATGCTTCTAGCTTTGTTCTTTTTGCTAAGAATTGTCTTGGCTATTCAGGCTTTTTTTGTTTCATATCAATTTAAAAATAGATTTTTCTAGTTCTGTGAAGAATTTCATTGGTGGGTTAATAGAAATAACATCGAACCTATCAATTGCTTTGAGAATAATGACCATTTTAGCAATATTAATTCTTTCTATCCATGAGCATGGAATGTTTTTCCATTTGTTTGTGTCATCTCTGATTTCTTTGTGTCATCTCTGATTTCTTTGAGCAGTGTTTCGTAGTTCTCCTTGTAAGAATCTTTTACTTCCCTGGTTAGCTGTATTCCTAGGTATTTTATTCTTTTTATAAGTATTGTGAATAAGATTGCATTCTTGATTTGGCTCTCAGCTTTGCTATTGCTGGTTTATAGGAAAGCCAGTGATTTTTGTACATTCCTTTTGTATCTTAAGACTTCGCTGAACTTGTTTATCAGCTGAAGGAGCTTTTGGGCTGAGACTTTGGGCTTTTCTAGATGTAAGGTTATGTTGTCTGCTAACAGGGATAGTTTGAGTTCCTATATTCCTATTTGGATGCCCTCTATTTCTTCTGCCTGATTGGTCTGGCCAGGACTTCCAATACTATGTTGAATAGGAGTGGTGAGAGACGGCATCCTTGTCTTGTGCCAGTTCTCAACGGGAATGTTTCCAGCTTTTGCCCATTCAGTATGATGTTGGCAGTGGGTTTGTCATAGATGTCTCTTGTCATTTTGAGGTATGTACCTTCAATATCTAGTTTGTTGAGAGTTTTTAACCTGAAGAGATATTAAATTGTATTGAAAGCCTTTTCTGCATCTATTGAGAAAATAATGTGGCTTTTGTCTTTAGTTCTGTTTAAGTGATGAATCACATTTATTGATTTGCATATGTTGAACCAACCTTGCATCCCAGGGATAAAGCCTCCTTGACTGTGGTAGATAAATTTTTGATGTGCTCCTAGATTTGGTTTGCCATATTTCGTTGATGATTTTTGCATCAATATTCATCAAGGATATTGGCCTGCAGTTTTCTTTCTTTTCTTTTCTTTTTTTTTTTTTTTTGGTTGCATCTGCCAGGTTTTAGTATCAGGATTATGCTGACCCTATAGAATGAGTTAGGGAAAAGTCACTCCTCTTTGATTTTTTGGAAAAATTTCAGTAGGAATGGTACATGCTCTTCTTTGTACATCTGGTAGAATTGAGCTCTGAATCTGTCTGGTTCTGGGCTTTGTGGAGTTGGTAGGCTGTTTATTACTGATTCCATTTTGGACCTCATTATTGGTCTGTTCCCGGACTCAAGTTTTTCCTGGTTCAGTATTGGGAGAGTGTGTGTATCCACGAACTTCTTCATTTCTTCTAGATGTCCTATTTCATGTGTGTAGAGGTGCTCATATTCTCTGATAGTTATTAGTATTTCTGTCTGATCAGTGGTATTATTCCCTTTGTCATTTCTAATTGTGTTTATTTTTATCTTCTCTCCTTTCTCCTTTATTAATCTAGTTAGCAGTCTACCTATTAGTTAAAAAAATCCTGCATTTGTTAATGTTTTGAATGGTTTTTCATGCTGCACTCTATTTCAGTTAACCTCTGATTTTCATTATTTCTTCTCTTTTGCTACCTTTTTATTTTTTTCAGATGTGATGTTCCATTGTCAAATTGAGATCTTTCCAACTTTTTGATGCGGGTACTTAGTGCTATCAATTTTCTTCTTAACACTGTCTTAGCTGTTTCCCAGAGATTCTGGTATGTTTTATCTTTGTTCTCATTTGTTTCAAAGAACTTCTTGATTTCTGCCTTAATTTCATTATTTGTCCAAAAGTTATGGGGGAGCAGATTTTTAAATTTCCATGTCATTGTATGGTTTAGAGCAAATTTCTTAGCCTTGATTTCTAATTTGACTGTTCTGTGGTCTGAGTTGTTGTTATTATTTCAGTTTACTGCATTTGCTAAGGAGTGTTTTATGTTCAACATTGTGACTGATTTTAGAGTATGTGCCACCTGGCAATGACAGAAATGTGTATTCTGTTTTTGATGGGTGGAGAGTTCTGTAGATGACTATCAGGTCCATTTGATCAAGTGCTGAGAACCAGTCTTGAATATCTTTGTTAATTTTTTGTCTTGATGATCTGTTTAATACTACCAGTGGGATGTTTAAGTCTCCCACTATTATTGTGTGGGAATCTAAGTCTCTTTGAAAGTCTCTAAGGACTTGCTTTATAAATTTGGATGTTCCTGTGTTAGTTGTATATATATATATATATATGGCATAGTTAGGTCTTCTTCTTGATGTAAACCCTTTACCATTATGTAATGCTGTTCTTTTTTTTTTTTTAGTCTTCTTTTCTTTAATCTTTTTTTGTTGCAATTTCTGATTTCTGTTTTGCATTTGTGTGGTAGATTTTTCTTCATCTCTTTATCTTGAGCCTTTGGTTGTCATTGCATATGACATAGGTCTCTTCAATATAGCATACCAATGGGTCCTGGTTTTTTATCCAGCTTGCCACTCTGTGCCTTTTAACTGGGGCTTTTAGCCCATTTACATTCAAGGTTAGTAGTAACATGAAAGGAGTTGATGCAGTCATCATGATGTTAGCTAGTTATTATGCAGACTTGTTTATGTAGTTGCTTTATAGTGCCAATGGTCTGTGTACTTCAGTGTGTTTTGTAGTGGCTGGTAGTGGTCTTTCCTTTCCATATTTAGTGCTTCCTTCAGGAGCTCTTTTAAGGTATGTCTACTGGTAATTAATTCTTTAGCATTTGCTTGTGTGACAAGAATCTTACTTCTACTTTGCTTATGAAGCTAGTCTGGTGATACAAAATTCTGGGTTGGAATTTCTTTTCTTTAAGAATGCTGAATATTGACCCCCAATCTCTTTTAGCTTGTAAGGTTCTGCTGGAAATCCCAAAATATTACCAAAGGTTTTTCTCATTTCTCTCTTTAGTTTCCTCTTTATTTTTTTGTATCTTGAATTTCTTTATTAGATACATACATACTTATTTTTCTAATGTGCTTTGATGAACTTATTTTTTCTATCATTAGGAAATGTTCATTATTCTGAAGTCTATTTCAATATTACAGCCCAGGTTTTTAGAAAATTAATGTTCAAATGGCTTTTCTACTAACTTTACTTTTATTTTTCTCAGTATTTTTCTTAAATGTTTCTTGTAGATAGCATATTGGTGGATCTTGCTTTCCTATCAATATGCTTCTATTTAAATTTACCTCCTTTTTATTTGATTATATATGTATACTATATGCTGTTTCTTTTTTCCTTCCTTTCTTTGTTTTAAACATTGTTTTACATTTTTATTTCTTCCCCATTATTTTATCTGTTTTTCCTTCTAATTTCTTCTGCAACTCTAATGATGTATATATGTAGCCTCATTGAT